>NC_000015.10:89017035-89168550 GCF_000001405.40 Homo sapiens
GGTGGTCACCAAGGGCTGGCGTCGGGGTGGAGGGTGGAGGTGTTGGTCAAAGGATACAGAATTAGACAGCAAGACTTAGTTCAAGGGATCTATTGTACAATCTGATGACTATAATTAATGCATTGTACACAATACTTGAAAATTGCTAGGAGAGTAGATTTTAAGCGTTCCCACAACAAATAAGTAAGTCTGTGAGGTAGTACATATGTTAACTCTCTTGACAAAGCCATTCTGCCAGGTATACATATTTCAAAACATCATGTTGTATACCACAAATGCATACAATTTTTATTTGTCAATTTAAAAAATAAAAAGAAATTACTGCCTTCCTCTCTTTGCCTCCCCTTAAGGAATCCCTTCACTGCCTGAGGGACCTGTCCTAGGTGCCAGAGTGAGCAGGGAGGAACACAGGTGTGTCTCGGTGGCTGGAGAACCCAGCCAGGACGACGCCCAGTTTGGAACTGTACCGAAGCTGAGCCCTGCCTTGCACGGCTGAAGCTTAGCCACAGAGGCGGAACTTCCCTGGCTTTTCCTGGAAGCGGAAGCCGTGAAATGGCCAAAGCACAAGACAGGGTGGTGCAGTTTTGCTCCCGCGCGATCACCGTTGGCCACGCGCCTCGGTCTCTATCTGTAAAAGAGATCCGCATCTCTGGTATTTGATGCTGGAGAGAAAAATGTGCGGCCTCCGCCCAACCTTGAGTTTCCTGCTCCACCGCGCCCTCTCGTGGTTAACTGGACTCACGGCTTTCTCGCCCCCAACCCCAACCACCTAAATTGCGGTTCTCAACCTTGGCTGAGCGTGGGAATCACCCGGGGACCTGCGAAACACCGATGCCTGGGTACCGGACTCTATCCGCGCCTCCCCCTGCGAGAGATTCTGACTTAATTGGCCTGATGCAATCCGGGCGTCCCCTGGGGATCACAGTGTGCAGTCAAGGCTGGGAAACACTGACCCACCTCTGCTCTGCCAGGGATCCTGCGTTTGGCTGACGACATTTCTCTTGTCAGAGCCCACCGGACTCTGCTTTCCGGATATAAAGGATCCTTTTGCAAGTCTAAACACCTCAATGTCGGCATCACACCCTCAAGCATCCACCCTCTACTCCTGAAATACTCATGATTAATATGTGCTTTTAATTTCTATTGCTGGAGAAAATGTTTCTGAAAAATTGCACTTACATAAATAGATAAGGCATATTATTTGTATTATCTGCTGACAACATCCGTGATGTGTGCATGTGTGTGCTGCGTATGCACAGAGCTTCCTCACTATAATTTCAGGAGCTTCTCAGGGCCTTAGGTCAGAGATCCGCTAGCCGTGCCAGGGCACTCTGGCCCTAATGTTAAAAATAGACCATGGCTTTAGCCACTCCTGTCAGTATCTTGTCTCACTGCCCAGTGCTCCATTCATCAGGAGAAATTCCTGAGCTGCTGCCCAGCCAGTCAGCCAGGCCCAACTGAAATTCCCAGGGGGCCTGTGAGGGGGGTCACACGTACTCTTAGCTTCTAGGCTGGACCTCAGGACTCCTAGCAGAAGGATATCCACTGTGGCCCTGCGACCTTGTCAATCGTTTGATTCACAGCCTCTCAGTGACACTGGCACTCAATGAGATGGGCTCCTTTCATGACACGGTCACCACCATCATCACAATCTCCAGCATTTTTGGGTTCCTACTATGTGTACAGCAGTTTTCAGGAACATTTATTATTTATTTATTGAGACAAGAGTTTCCCTCTGTCACCCAGGCTGGAGTGCAGTGACATGATCTCAGCTCACTGCAACCTCAGCCTCCTGGGCTCAAACGATTCTTGTACCTCAGCCTCCCAAGTAGTTGGGATTACAGGCACTCACCACCACACTAGCTAATTTTTGTATTTTTAGTAGAGATGGGGTTTCGCCATGTTGGCCAGACTGGTCTTGAACTCCTGACCTGAAGTGATTTGCCCACCTCGGTCTCTCAAAGTGCTGGGATTACAGGTGTAAGCCTCCATGCCTGGCCTATTTTAAAGGAACTTATAAACATTAGAAAATAGTGTCTTTGTCATCCAAAAATGTATAGTCCAGTGGGAGAGAGGGTAATAACATGGGGACATGTGAGAAAATAAAGTTCTGTTTAATTCCCTCAGACCCAATTGAGCACTGGTGTAAGAGTTGTGTAAGATATTTTAAAGATGCCTTAAAAGAGGTTAGAATCTGAGGACAATGAGAATGAGGACAAGAAACGCGAGGCAGTATGAAAATATCAGGGTCAACAATGCAAAGCAGGGGAAGGTAGTGCCTCTGCTAATCAGGACTCATTCTGCTGCTAATGTCAGTTCATCAACTAAAATTCACTTAAACAACAATAACAAAAAGGAATTTATTGATTCACTGAGCCAAAGGATAGGAAGAATGTGCTGAGCTTCAGTGACAGTGGAATCCGGGACTGAATGCCAGCAAGAATTTCTCTCCCCTTTCCCATAACCCCCACCCTTCCCCTTCCTACTTCACCCACTTTCCCCAAACTCTGGGCTTCCCCCTCTCTGCAGCCTTTCTTCTCTTCCACACAGAAGGGCTTTCTATGCACACCAGGAAATATGGCCCCAGGCAGTTCAAGATTCATAACCTTGGTCCTCTACCAAAAAGGAAAAGAAACCTTCCCTCCCAGTTCCGTTTAAAAGAAGAACAAACCAAACAAACCAACAGAAAAGGACTTGAAGTACCCACTCTTCTGGGCAGAGTGAGATGGGGTACTTTCATTGGTCTCCCATCCAGAGCCAAACAGTAGGCGTGGGGGAGAAATGTCCCCTGAAAGAAGGGGATGATGGTTGTAGCAGACAAAACAAAGTCAGCCAGTACATGACATGGGATTGCTTTTCTGAAATGAAGGGCCACCGTTTTTGTTTTGTTTGGTTTGGGGGGGGTTGTTTGTTTTTGTTTGTTTGTTTGTTTGTTTTGATATGGAGTCTCGCTCTTGTTACCCAGGCTGGAGTGCAATGGCGTGATCTTGGCTCAATGCAACCTCCGCTTCCCGGGTTCAAGTGATTCTCCTGCCTTAGCTTCCTGGGTAGCTGGGATTACAGGCGCCCACCACCGTGCCCGGCTAATTTTTGTATTCTTAGTAGAGACGGGGTTTCACCATGTTGACCAGACTGGTATGGAACTCCTGACCTCAAGTGATCTGCCCACCTCGGCCTCCCAAAGTGCTAGGATTACAGGCGTGAGCCACTGTACCTGGCCCCGGGGCCACTGTTTTTAACCAATTGTCAAAGGGATCCCTAACCCAAAGATAGTCTTCCAAGGGACCTCAGTGACCAACCAGTTCAACTCCTCCATTTTACAGAAGAGAACACTGAGCTACAGAGAATTTAGGTGATTTGCCTAAGATGGCACAACTATGATGGGATTCTGCATTTGACTGGATGTAAGTGGGGGAAGAGGTATGTGAGAAGAAAGAGTCAAAACCTGGTCTGAGGCCAGGCGCAGTGGCTCACTCCTGTAATCCCAGCACTTTGGGAGGCTGAGGTGGGCGGATCTCCTGAGGTCGGGAGTTCGAGGCCAGACTAACCAACATGGAGAAACCCCATCTCTACTAAAAATACAAAATTAGCTGGGTGTGGTGGTGCATGCCTGTAATCCCAGCTACTCAGGAGGCTGAGGCAGGATAATCACTTGAACCCGGGAGTTGGAGGTTGCGATGAGCCAAGATTGTGCCATTGCACTCCAGCCTGGGCAATGAGAATGAAACTCCATCTCAAAAAACAAACAAACAAGCAAACCAAAAACCTGGTCTGTCAGAGTAAAGACAAATTATTTTTCATTTTTTATTTTATTGAGACAGGGTCTTGCTCTGTCACCCAGGCTGGAGTGCAGTGGCACAACCAAGGCTTACCACAGCCTTTACTTCTTGGGCTCAAGGAATCCTTCCACCTCATCTTCCTGAGTGGATGGGACTAGTAGCTGCCACCTCAGCTTCCTGAGTAGCTGCCACCACACCTGGCTAATTTTTGTATTTTTCATAAAGACTAGATTTTGCCATGTTGCTCAGGCTGGTCTCGAACTCCTGGGCTCAAGTGATCCTCCTGCCTTAGCCTCCCAATGTGCTGGGACTACAGGTATGAGCCACCATACTGGGCCAAGACAAATATTTTTTAAACGATAGAGTCCCATAGAAAGAGAATATAGGGGGGAAATAAAGCATAGAAAGAGGTGAGGCTGGTTTAAAAAGAAAAAAATAAAAAAGCTAAAGTCAACAAGGGCTGCTGTGGTAAATTCCAAGGCTCCACTAGTGTTTATAATCTTGGAAGAATTTTGGAGAATGGGTGAGGCCCCACCTGACTGGAAATGGGCAAATGTTGTTCTAATTTTCTAAAAGAGGAACAAGCAGTTTCCAAGAATTGCAGGCTGGTGAACTAGACAAGGCTCTAGTATGGGCTTACTAAGGACGGGCTGTGCCAAATGGGCGTTTTTACCATATTTGAGAAAGTTCTTAGCCTGGCAGGTTACTCAAGGGAATACTCCAGACTCCAAGACTTCTGGCTTGTTAAATCTGAAAAAAACCTTTAGGGATTAAAAAACCAGGGATGGCAAACTGGTGACTCCAGCTGAATTCAACCCTCAGATATTTAAATGAATAAAATTTCCCATCAAATCAGCCTTTCTGGCTTCATGATGGCACTGACCTTCCTTCCTGCCCAGCAGTGGGTATCACTGCCCTCAATAGATGAAGCAGGTACATGCAGCATACACACTCCCGTCCACCCTGGCCCTGCCATTCCCTAGTGCCTCTCCCTTGACCAGCTTCATTCATTACTTTATTTTATTTTATTTTGAGATGGAGTCTCACTCTGTCACCCAGGCTGGAGCGCAGTGGCACGATCTTGGCTCACTGCAACCTTCGCCTCTCGGGTTCAAGCAATTATCCTGCCTCAGCCTCCCGAGTAGCTGGGATTATAGGCGCCCGTCCCCATGCCCAGCTAATTTTGTTATTTTTAGTAGAGACAGGGTTTCACCATGTTGGCCAGGCTCGTCCCAAACTCCTGACCTCAAGTGATCCACCCTCCTCGGTCTCCCAAAGTGCTGTGATTGCAGGCATGAGCCACTGCACCCAGCCTATTTATTATTTTAATCTAGCCAGCTCCAGCAGGCATTTGAGTGTGTGGCCCTGATCTAATCCACACCCTGTCATTATTTTATAGAGACTCAGAGAAAAGAAACAGGAGTGGGAGCACTTCTGATTCCTCAGAAGATAGCAATCTAGGGTGGGCTGCAGGTTCCTGTTCACAAAGTCAACCCCAGAGAAACTACAGAAGCAGAGAAGCTTGGACCTGAGCAACAAACCTAGAAACTGTCAGAGCTCCCAGGAAGAGCAAGAGCTGCTTTGAACTAAAGTGTCCATGGCAGTGGGCATCCACCTGATCCACCAGTGAGAGGAAGGGTTGGAAGAGCTCTCTCAGGGCCTTCTCTTACTTCTTCCCCACATTGATTGGGACAGTCATTGCTGCCCCACTGCCTCTTTGTGATAGAAGTCAGGAGCAATAGCTCAGGTTCCAGTGATGGTGGGGTAATATCAGGGCACCCTAGTAGCACAGCTGGAGTGAGAAGCTGGTGAGAACAGGTATGGGTTGACCAGATTCCCTCAAACATTCACTTTTCCCCCCTTCTCTGTCTCACCCCCAGGGCTGGTGAAGTCCCGTGGGAAAGCGTCCTCCTCACAGCACAGCTTCCTCCTAAGAGTTCAAGCATGAATGCCTGACCAGAGGCATTGCTTGGTGGCCCAGTGACAAACAGGAAGGGGAGGATGGGGAATCAGTTGTGACTGCATGGTGCCAGGGGCTGTATGCTTGGCTCCATCCATGCCATTCTCTTTCTTTCTTTTCTTTTTTTTTTTTTGAAATGGAGTTTCGCTTTTGTTGCCCAGGCTGGAGTGCAGTGGCGCAATCTGGGCTCACTGCAATCTCCGCCTCCCGGGTTCAAGTGATTCTCCTGCCTCAGCCTCCCGAGTAGCTGGGATTACAGGCGCCTGCCACCATGCCCGGCTAATTTTTGTATTTTTAGTAGAGACGGGGTTTTGCCATGTTGGCCAGGCTGGTCTCGAACTCCTGACCTCAGGTGATCCACCCACCTCGGCCTCCCAAAGTGCTGGGATTACAGGCATAAGCCACCGTGCCTGGCCCATGTCATTCTCCATGAACTCATCGGGGCACCTGAGAGGACATGAATGTCCCCAAGAAATAGAGCATTGGATATTTCCAAGGAAACCTACAGATAGCTGAGGAGTACATACCCTAGTACATACACAGACGTGGAGAAAATGGGACAAAATATAGTATGGGAAGCAAAATTCATAAGGATTTAAAATAGGAATCTTCAAAGAGTTAAGAGTATTAGTAATATTAACAGATGGGGTCGTTTTAAACTATGTGCCTAAATTATTTCATAATCCTCTCTTCAAGTAGTGATTAATTCCCTCCTCCTTGAGTATGAGCTGGACTAATGATTCACTTCTAACGAATGGACTATGGCAGAAATGACAGTCATAAAATACACCATGGCTTCTTCTTGCTTTCACCGTGTTGGGTTGTTGGTTCTGGAAAAAGCCAGCTGCTATATAGGGGGGTTCTCAAGAAACGCTACTGAGAGGCCCATGTGTTGTGGAACTGATCCCTCCTACAAAGAGTCAGCAAGGACCTGAGGCCTCCTGCCTATAGCCTTGTGAGTGAGCAACCTTGGGAACCAGTCCTCCAGCCCCAGGCAAGTCTTCACTTAACAGCAGCCTTGGCCGCAAACTCATGAGAGATTATGAGCCAGAGCCACCTAACTAAGCCACTCCTAAATTTCTGACCCATGGAAACTGAAATAATAAACGTTTGTTGTTTTAATGGCTGGGTGGTGTGGCTCACGCCTATAGTCCTAGCACTTTGGGAGGCTGAGGTGGGCAGATCACCTGAGGTCAGGAGTTGAAACCAGCCTGGGCAACCTGGTGAAACCCCGTCTCTACCAAAAATAAAAAAAATTAGCCAAGCGTGGTGGCGAGTGCCTGTAATCCCAGCTATTAGGGAGGCTGAGGCAGAGGTTGCAGAGAGCCGAAATCACACCACTGCACTCCAGTCTGGGCAACAGAGAGAGACGCTGTCTCAGAAAAAATAAATAAATAAATACATAAATAAATGTTTGTTGTTTTAAGATGCCAAGTTCTGCAGTGATGTTATATTAATTAACGAGTATATCAGGAATGAAGTCATAAGAAGAATCAAGTGGAAATATTACATATTAAAATAGTTAAAAATAAAAATAGATGGGGTAAATAGGAATATAGATTTTACTTGTCTTTTAAGGGGAAGATAAGAGAGTGATAAATTTAAGATTTCAGTAGAAGCAAATAAACAAAGCTCTTAACCATAAGATAGATATGTATAGCTTTTAACCGTAACCACAGAATAGAATGTGTAGCTTTTAACCATAAAATAGAATGTGTAGCTTTTAAGACAACAGAGGAAAATTTGATCTATCCAGTGAAAAGGAGGTGATAAAAAGAAAAGGCAATAAATAAAAAATCAAGATAGGAATAGAAATTTGTACTTTTCTAACAGCAATTACAACCATTGTAAATGCAATAAATTCATCAACTAAAAGTTAGAGACTCTCAGAGCAGGTAAAAAAATCCAGCAATAAATTGTCTACAATAGGCATATTTAAAAAGAAACCAAAAGATTTTAGCAGTGGTGGACTAGATTATCAGGAAATAGGGAGAATATATTCTTCAAACCAACTGAATTCCGTGTAAAATATGGCTTTTTTGATTTCCTAAACTTACAGGCCATAAGGGATAACACCAAGCCTCCCCCCAAAAAATTTAAAAGTAAAATGTTTTGAGACAAAACCAAAGTATTCATCTCCATCAAGGGTGGCATTTACTTGAAACCTAGGCCTTGGACCTGTGGCAAGGTGAGAGAGAATGTAACTGAGTTTCCCAGATTAAGCATAAGAGCCTGGATTGGGGGTTGGAATAAATCCAGATCAATAGCTCCTATGGGTTCAAGTGCAAATCCTCTCTGCTCTGAGAAAGGATTTCTCAATTTAGGTCTCCACATTTTCCACAGACAGGTCAGCTAAAATGAGCTCACAATCAAAGGTGATCAAAACATAAGGAAACCAACCGCTATGAATGAAAGTCTGGAGACAATTAACCATAGAGTTTGACCTCCAGGGACTTTAGATATTTGAACTGTCAGTTACAGACTTAAGATAACTATGTACGAAATGTTGAGGAATCACAAAACTAAGTAAACAACAAGATACTGTCAAAAATGACCAGCAGTGGCCGGACACAGTGGTTCATGCCTGTAATCCCAGCACTTTGGGAGGCCAAGGCTGGAGGATCACTTGAGCCCAGGAGTTCGAGACCAGCCTGAACAACATAGTATGACCCCCATCTCTACAAAAATACAAAAAATTACCCAGGTATGGTGGCACATGCCTGTGGTCCCAGCCACTTGGGAGGCTGAGGCAGGAGGATCACCTGAGCCTCGGAGGCAGAGGTTGAAGTGAGCCAGTGAGACCGTGACACTACACTCTAGCCTGGGTGACAGAGCAAGACCCTGTCTCAAACAAAGAAAGAATTAGTTAACTGGAAGTTATACATAAAGGAGTTACCCAGAGAGACAAGGAGATGGAAGACACAAAAGTTAAGAGATATGGAAGACAGAATGAGAAGGTCTAAAATATCTATCTAATCAGAGTCTCAGAAGGAAAGCATAAAAAGGATAAAAGGAGATGTATGGTTATTCTCTTGATAACCTTGGGGGATTGGTTCCAGGATCCCCCAAAGATAGCAAAATTCACAGACACAAAAGTCCCTTATATAAAATGGCATAATATTTGCATGTAACCTGTGCACATGTTCCCATAAACTTGAAATCCTCTCTAGGTTACTTATAATACCTAATACAATGTAAATAGTTGTCATACTGTATTGGTTTTTTATTTGTATTTTTTCCAAATACTTTTAATTTGCAGCTGGTTGAATCCAATGACATGGAACCTGCAGATACAGGGGGTTGACTGTTTTCGTTTTTTAAATTGGTGGCTTCAGATAACACACATTTATTGTTTTACAGTTTATGTTGGCCAGGAGCTTGCACATGGCTTAACTGGATCCTCTGCTTAAGGTTTTGCAGACAGCAATCAAGGTGTTGGCTGGGCTGCATTCTCATCTGGAGTCTCAATGGGGGAAGAGTCTGCTTCAAAGTTTGCTGAGATTGTGGTCAGAAATTATTCCCTTGCAGTTGTGGGCAAGAAGGCCCCAGCTTCTTGCTGGCAGCTCTTGGATGCCATCCACAGTTTCTCAAAGCCACCCACAGTTCCTTGCCACATGAGCTTTCCCAACTTGGCTGTTTACTTCATCTAGCAAGCAAGGAGAGCCTCTGGAGTGAGTCAAAAAAGACAGACTCTTATATAATGTAACACTCACAAAAGTGACAGCCCATCACCATCACCATATCCTATTGCTTAGAAGCAGGTCACAGGTTCTGCCCACCCACAAGGGGAGGGGATTACACAAAGGCATGAACACCAGGAGGTAGAGATCGATGGAGAGACGGGGCACCTTAGAGTGTGTCTGCCACAACAGGAAATATTTAAAATGATAACAGCTATGTATTTTCCAAAACTGACTAAAAATAATTTTAAAGATTAATTTTTTTTTTTGAGACGGAGTCTTGCTCTTTCATCCAGGCTGGACTGCAGTGGCGCTATCTCGGCTCACCGCAAGCTCCGCCTCCCAGGTTCATGCCATTCTCCTGCCTCACCCTCCCAAGTAGCTGGGACTATAGGCACCTGCCAACATGCCTGGCTAATTTTTTGTATTTTTAGTAGAGACAGGGTTTCACCATATTAGCCAGGATGGTCTCGATCTCCTGACCTTGTGATCCACCCGCCTCAGCCTCCCAAAGTGCTGGGATTACAGGCATGAGCCACCTTGCCCGGCCAATTACTATTTTTGATAATAAATAAAGCGTAATTTTAAAAATTCACATCTAGAAACATTTTAATGAAGCTGAAGAATACACAAGGAAATGTCTACATAGAAATCATCCAGAGACAGGGAAAATACCAAGCAAATATGAACCAAAAGAAACCTGGGATAGCAAGCAGAATCACTGACAAAACAGAATTTAAGACCAAAATATACATATCATAAGGGGCAAGAGGAGCATTATATACTGGCATATAAAGAATAGATATATATTAGCTGGGCTCATTGGCTCACAACTGTAATCTCAGCACTTTGGGAGGCTGAGGCAGGCAGATCACTTGAGGTCAGAAGTTCAAGACCAGCCTGGCCAACATGGCGAAACCCCTTCTCTACTAAAAATGCAAAAATTAGCCGGACATGGTGGCACATGCCTGTAATCCCAGGTATTCAGGAGGCTGAAGCACAACAATCACTTGAACCCGGGAAATGGAGGTTGCAGTGAGCTGAGATCATACCACTACACTCTAGTCTGGACTTCACTCTGTCTCAAAAATAAAAATAAAAAATAAAAAGAATATATATATATTTTACCCAATAATATCATGTAAACATATAAAGGACTATATATTTGGCTAACAATACCACCTAAATATATAAAGCAGTACTGACCAACTGGGGAGAAATAGGTAAATCAATTGCATTGAGGATTTTATTTTATTATTTTATTCTTTTTATTTTTATTTTTGGAGAGGGAGTCTCACTCTGTTGCCCAGGCTGGAGTGCAATGACATGATCTTGGCTCACTGCAACCTCCACCTCCTGGGTTGAAGCAATACTCATGCCTCAGCCTCCCAAGTAGCTGGGATTACAGGCACCCACCATCATGCCCGGCTAATTTTTATATTTTTGTAGATTTGCGTTTTCACCATGTTGGCCAGGCTGGTCTCAAACCCCCGACTTCAGGTGATCCGCCGGTCTCGGCCTCCCAAAGTGCTGGGATTACAGGCGTGAGCCACCGTGGCTGGCCTGCAGTGAGGATTTTAATTCACTCTTCTCAAAAACTGGTAGATCAAGTAATAGCAACAATAATAACAAAAAGGCAGAGCTCTAGAGGATCTGAAAAATAAAATTAGTATGCTTAAGCAATGATATGGTTAGGTTTTGTGTCCCCACCTAAATCTCCTCTTGAGTTATAATCCCCGTAATCCCCATGTGTCAAGGGAGAGAGCAGGTGGAAGTAATTGAATCATGGGGGCGGTTTCCCCCATGCTGTTCTCGTAATAGTGAGTGAGTTCTCATGAGATCTGATGGCTTTATAAGGAGCTCGTCCCCCTTCACTTAGCACTTCTCCTTCCTGCTGCCTCGTATAGAAGGTGTCTTGCCTCCTCTTTGCCTTCCGTCATGATTGTAAGTTTCCTGAGGCCTCCGCAGTCATGCTGAACTGTGAGTCAATTAAACCTCTTTCCTTTATAAATTACCCAGTCTTGGGCAGTTCTTTATAGCAGTAGGAAAACAGACTAATACAAGCAATTCAGAGGATATACATTTTTTGTGTGTCCTCACTCTGTGACCCAGGCTGGAGTGCAGTGACACGATCACTACTAACTGCAGCCTTGACCTCCGGGGTTCAAGCAATCCTCACACCTCAGCCTCCCAAGTAGCTGGGACCACAGGCAAACGCCACCACCCCCAACTAGTAAAACTTTTTTTTTTGCATAGAGATGGGGTCTTGCTATGATGACCAGGTGTGTCTTGAACTCCTGGGCTCAGGGATCCTCCCACCCCAGCCTCTCAAAGTACTAAGATTAGAAATGTGAGCCACTGCATCTAGCCTACATTTTTTTAAGCACACGGAATGCTTACAACAAATTTTCCATATACAATACCATGAAGGCAGCTTAAATAAAATACATCTCACAGATTACGTTATCTGACTAAAAAATATACGTCAATGACAAAATGATAACCAAAAATCTCATATATCTGGAAACAAAACATTATTTTATAATTCTTGGGTTAAAAAACCATAGGGGAAATTATGTAATTCTGAGAGTTGAATGATGATTAATATAAGTCAAATCCTGAGTGGCATGCTTAAAGCAATACTTACTTAGAGAGTTAAATATTATATAGCTTTCCTTACATTTACCAGAGAACAAAATAGATTTAAATAAATGGGTAAATATTTAGCTCAAGAAGTTGGAGAAAGAGTAATAAAGCAGGCATAAAGAAATAAGAAGGAATTTAAAAATTAAAAATTTAATGAAATAGAAAACAAAGAAAATTCATAAAACCAAAAGTTTGTTCTTTGAAAATATGTATCAGTACATAGACTTATGGTAGGACTAGTTAATATAGAAAAAGAAAATATACAAATAAATAAATGAGACAGCTGCAGACACCATAGATACAGAAAAAGTAATCACCACATGCCAATTATGAAAGGACAGAATATTTAATAAGTTGCATTGGGAAGACTGATTACTCATATAAAGAAAAATACAATTGCATATCTCCCTAATACAATATATGAAGCTGGAAATCCAATGGATTCTATATCTAAATTTGAAAATGGAAAATAATAAATTATATGAATTATAATATAGGACAACAGAGGGATACAGAAGAATTTTTTAAAACTCTGAAAGTATATCTATAGGCAACAATTTCACTGATTTGATAATACAAAATTAAGGATTTTTTTTTTTTTTTGAGACAGTCTTGCTCTGTTGCCCAGGCTGGAGTGTAGTGGCGCGACCTCGGCTCACTGCAACCTCCACCTTCCAGGTTCAAGTGATTCCCATGCCTCAGCCTCCCAAGTAGCTGGGATTACAGGCGTGCACCACCACACCTGGCTAATTTTTGTATTTTTAGTAGAGGTGAGATTTCACCATGTTGGCCAGGCTGGTCTTGAACTCCTGACTTCAAGTGATCTGCCTGTCTTACCTCAAGGGATCTGCCCACCTTGGCCTCCCAAAGTGCTGGGATTACAGGCATGAGCCACCATGCCTGGCCAAAATTAAGGATTTTGATTCCATGGGAGACATGAAGAAAGTTAACATACATATCACAGACTGATAAAAATACACATGGAATGTAAAAGACAGAAGGTTAGCCCCAATATATAAAAATGCCTTCTCATCAGGCAAAAAAAAAAAAAAAAAAGTTCACAGTGGTATTATGACAGCAAGATGTGATCTAGATACCCATCACTGAGAGAGTAAATAAGTAAAATGTGATATGCGCAGCAGTTATAAGACTAGATTCACATTTAGCAAAATGGATGGATATTAAAAAGTGTTAAATTAAAAAAAAAAGAGAAAAATAGACTAAAAGCCTTGCAGCGCAATAGATCTACATACATCACAAGCACATGTCCATAATACAACGCTACACATTTTGCAAGAACACATGCAAATAAAGAGGATACACACCAAAAGCACTGGAATGTCTATTTATGGAGGAAGAGGAGGCGTGGCAGTGACAAAGGGAGACAAAAGCAGCTGCCATGGAGTCTTCTATGATTCAGAGGCTATTCTCCTTTCCTCCCAAGCTCCTGGGTGGATTGTACTTCTCTGCCTCCTCCACCCTGTAGTTGGGCAAGGACATGGAATCAGTGCTACCTGAAGAGTTGTGGGTGGAAGTCATGTGTGCTAGCTTAGACCAGAGCATTTAACTTGTGGTGGAAGATCATTGAATGCTCTGATCCACTACCACAGATGATCCTGAAGACAAAAGTTGAGAAGAAACTTCCATCACCCTGGATCCCTGAAAAAATACAACTAGCTGAACCCTCCCCTAGTCTCCATCTTGCCAACCTGCATTATTAAATAGATAATTTTGGTGAAAAATAAACTCTTGTTTTAAGCTCCTGGGACTTGGGTTGTTTGTTACTGCAGCATAATCCTGTGCCCGGAATTGGAGGATTCTTAGTCTCACGGACTTCAACAATGAAGCTGCAGACCCTCGCGGTGAGTGTTACAGTTCTTAAAAGCGGCGTGTCTGGAGTTTGTTCCTTCTGATATTGGGATGTGTTTGGAGTTTCTTCCTTCTGATGGGTTCGTGGTCCCGCTGGTTTCAGGAGTGAAGCTGCAGGCCTTCCTGGGGAGTGTCACAGCTCATAAAGGCAGTGTAGACCCAAACAGTGAGCAGTAGCAAGATTTATTACAAAGAGCGAAAGAAGAACGAAACCACATCGCAAAACGGAACTCCAGCCGGTTTGCCACTACTGCCTCGGGCAGCCTGCTTTTATTCTCTTATCTGGCCCCACCCACATCCTGCTGATTGGTCCATTTTACAGAGAGTGGATTGGTCCATTTTACAGAGAGCTGATTGGTCCGTTTTGACAGGGTGCTGATTGGTGCGTTTACAATCCCTGAGCTAGACACAAAAGTTTTCCACCTCCCCACTAGATTAGCTAGATACAGAGTGTGGACACAAAGGTTCTCCAAGTCCCCACCAGAGTAGCTAGATACAGAGTGTCCATTGGTGCATTCACAAACCCTGAGCTAGACACAGGGTGCTGATTGGTGTGTTTACAAACCTTGAGCTAGATACAGAGTGCCGATTGGTGTATTTACAATCCTTTAGCTAGACATAAAGGTTCTCCAAGTCCCCACCAGACTCAGGAGCTCAGCTGGCTTCACCCAGTGGATCCCGCACCGGGGCCGCAGGTGGAGCTGCCTGCCAGTCCCACGCCGTGCCCCCGCCCTCTTCAGCCCTTGGGGGGTCGATGGGACTGGGCACCCGTGGAGCAGGGGTGGCGCTCATAGGGGAGGCTCCGGCCGTGCAGGAGCCCTCAGCGGATCCGGGGAGGCTCAGGCATGGCGGGCTGCAGGTCCCGAGCCCTACCCCACGGGAAGGCAGCTAAGGCCCGGCGAGAAATTGATCACAGCAGCTGCTGGCCCAGGTGCTAAGCCCCTCACTGCCCGGGGCCGGCGGGGCCGGCCGCTACGAGTGTGGGGCCCGCCGAGCCCATGCCCACCCGGAACTCGCGCTGGCCTGCAAGCACCGCGGGCAGCCCTGGTTCTCGCCCGCGCCTCTCCCTCCACACCTCCCTGCAAGCTGAGGGAGCCGGCTGCGGCCTTGGCCAGCCCAGAAAGGGGCTCCCACAGCGCAGTGGCGGGCTGAAGGGCTCCTCAAGCGCGGCCAGAGTGGGCGCCGAGGCCGAGGAGGCACCAAGAGCGAGCGAGGGCTGTGAGGGCTGCCATCATGCTGTCACCTCTCAATCCTAGCCTACTCTGATTAATACGGGGTATAATCAACTAAATAAAACAAGAGAGAATCTTTCGGTGACCAGTGATGCTGAGGAGTGTGACTAATTTAAACTCATGCATCTGAGCTGGCTCCTGCCTCTCTCACCCCAAATGAGATGGAGAAAGAAAACTAGGCAATTGCCAACGGTCACACAGCCTTCAACAGGGCATGGCAACAACCCTCAAAACTGTGGACTGGAATACATAAACCCTGTGCCTGCCTAGATGTCAGCAAGGTTTTCATAAAGTTCCTTGGGCTGTTTCCACGAACAGGATGGAGCTTGTAGGCTGAGGAGTATGACTATTGGTTTCTCGCTGATGGAAACCCATCATATCCTACAAGAACTGATGAGTAGATCCTTGGCAGTCTGAAGCTTCTTGCTGCAAAGCTGGGTCCTCAGTCTCTCCTTGTTCAACCTTTTGTCAATGATTTAGATGAAGGTACAGAAAATAGGCTGGGAGGGACAGCTAATATCTTAAGGATGGCGTCATGATCCAAAGGAATTTCCACAGGCTGGCTATAGCAACTGACCGAAGTGTAGTCCTCAGACTAGCACTATCAGCGTCACCTGGGAACTTGTTAGACATGCAAATTCTTAGGCTCCACCTCAGACTTATTGAAATCAGAAACTCCAGGAGTGGGACCCAGAAATCTCTTTTTTTTCTTTCTTTCTTTCTTTTTTTTTTTTTTTTTTTTTTTTTGAGACAGAGTCTCACTCCATTGCCCAGGCTGGAGTGCAGTGGCGTGATCTTGGCTCACTGCAACCTCTGCACCCCAGTTCAAGCAATTCTCTTGCCTCAGTCTCTTGAGTAGCTGGGGCTACAGATGCCCGCCACCATGCCCGGTTAATTTTTGTATTTTTAGTAGAGACGGGGTTTCGACATGTTGACCACGCTGGTCTCGAACTCCTGACCTCAAGTGATCCACCCACCTCAGCCTCCCAAAATACTGGGATTAAGGCATGAGCCACCGCGCCCAGCAGAAATCTGTGTTTTAGTAAGCCCTCCAGGTGGCTCTGATGCACACTAGAATTTGAAAATCAAAGTTTTAGACCTGTGGGCTGACTCCAACAGCCTCTTATTCAACAGGGATAAATGTAAGCCTTCCCATCATCTCCACCCATCCCTTCACACCCAAATAAGAAAAAAAAAAAACAGTTACAAATGAGGAGCATAAGTCATTTAATAGTATTTGTGGAAAAGGCTCCGAAGTTTTAGAGATTTTTGTTTTCTTTTGTTTTTTACTATAACCTTGAAACATAGAGCCTTCCAAAAAGGCAAGTCAGTCTTTTTTTTTTTTTTTTTTTTTTTTTGAGACAGGGTCTTGCTCTGTTGCCCAGGCTGGAATGCAGTGGTGTGATCATAGCTCACTGAAGCCTAGACCTCCCAGGCTCCAGCCATCTCCCGTCCTCAGCCTCCTGAGTAGCTGGAACCACTGGCAAGCACCACCATGCCTGGCTAGCTTTTAAATTTTTTGTAGAGATGGGGTTTTGCCATGTTTCCTCGAACTTCTGGGGTCAAGTGATCCTCCTGCCTTGGCCTCCAAAGTGCTGGGACTACAGACATGAGCCACTGCACCCAGCCAAGCCAAGGCAATTTTTTTTTTTTTAATTTGAGACAGAGTCTCGCTCTTGTCACCCAGGCTGTAATATGATGACACGTTCTCAGCTCACTGCAACCTCCACCTCCTGGGTTCAAGCAATTCTCCTGCCTCAGCCTCCCGAATAGCTAGGATTACAGGTGCCCGCCACCATGCCTGGCTAATTTTTGTATTTTTAATAGAGATAGGGTTTCACCATGTTGGCCAAGGTGGTCTTGAACTCCTGACCTCAGGTGATCTACCCGCCTTGGCTTCCCAAAGTGCTGGGATTACAGATATAAGCCACCACCAAGCCAAGTCAATCTTAAATTACATTAAAAACAGTGTCTACTATCACTGAGTAGTACACAAGTGATTCAGAGATTTGGGGTTTGGGTCCTGGGATTACAAAATAGAAGATACAATGAAATATCTCCCTCCCATTTATTCTCTAGCCATCCAGTTCCTACCCCAGAAGCAGCCTATTTTGTTACCATATTTCATTGACTTCTAAGATATACATGTTTTTTCACATTTTAACATCTCTGAAATCAGGATGTGTCTTACAATAGCTGTCAGCTAGGTGGCTCTCATCACATTGATACCATTGCCTGCACTTGAGCAAACTTGGCTATAGCTTTGGTATTGTCATCATTTCAAATGATTTATGTGCATTGTTGACGCTACATGCGCTGACTTTACTTGCTATTTAAAATATCTTCAAAAAGACGGTACTATCAGCATTTAAATGAAAGGTCACTGTGGATGCAGAAAGTTACAGAAACAACAGTGAGGTGCAAAATTGATATTAGTGAAGCGAATTTATGAATTGTTAGAGTAATGATTTCCATTCCATATTTTCTTGCAGAGCAACCATTGAGAGGTTTTCAGCAGCAGTACCTCTCTGACTGCAATGTGCACACAAATCCGCTGGGATCTGGATAAAACACAGATTTTGATTCACTAAGTCTGGCATGGGTCAGATTCCACATTTCTTTTTTTTTTTTTTTTTTTTTTTTTGAGATGGAGTCTTGCTCTGTCACCCAGGCTGGAGTGCAATGGTGCGATCTCTGCTAACTGCAACCTCAGCCTCCCGGGTTCAAGCGATTCTCCTGCCTCAGCTTCCCAAGTAGCTGGGACTACAGGCACATACCCCCACGCCTGGCTAATTTTTTGTACTTTTAGTAGAGACAGGGTTTCACCATGTTGGCCAGGCTGGTCTCGAACTCCTGACCTCATGATCTGCCCACCTCCGCCTCCCAAAGTGCTGGGATTACAGGTGTGAGCCACGGCGTCTGGCCTCAGATTCCACGTTTCTAACAAGCCCTCTGGTGATATTGATGCTGCTGATGCATGCTTGGTCCATTTGAGGACCCCAAAGTGGAAGATACCCAAAAGAGAAAAAGGAATGTTACCTACTCAAATTCATGCCAGACAATGCAATTTAAGACTGGGGAAATTGCCAGATCTCTCAGAATAGATGCAAGAAATTTCAAAGCCATGAAGGGCTGGTGTGATCAATCATGTGTCATGCAAGGCTGTCGTTATGGCATCATGTCATATAGTTAACTGGCAGTCTTTTTTTAAATAGACTTTATCTTTTAGAGCAGTTTTAGTTCACAGCAAAATTTAGAAGTACAGAGCGTTCTCATACACTCCCTGGCCCTACACATACACAGCCTCCCCCACTATCAACATTCTGCAACAGAGAGGTAAATTTGTTATAATCAATGAACCTACATTGACACATTATTATCACCCAAAGCCCATTTCTTTTAGTGCTGAATAATATTCCATTGTCTGGAAGTACCTATAGTTTATTTACACATTCACCTACTGAAGGACATCTTGCTTGCTTCCACATTTTGATGATTATAAATAAAGCTGATTATAAACATCCATGGGCAGATTTCTGTGTGGACACCAGTTTTTAATTCATTTGGGTCAATACCAAGCAGCACAATTGCTAGTTCATATGGTAAAAGTATATTTAGTTTTGTAAGAAACCGCCAAATTAGGCTGGGAGTGGTGACTCATGCCTACAATCTCAACACTTTGGAAGTCCAAGGTAGGAAGATCACGAGTCCAGGAGTCTGAGACCAGCCTGGGCAACATAGGAAGACTCTGTCTCTACAAAATTTTTGTTTTAGAAATTAGCCTGGTATGGTAGCACATGCCTGTAGTCCCAGCTATTCAGGAGGCTGAGGTGGGAGGATTGTTTGAGCCCAGGAGTTAGAGACTGCAGTTAGCCGTGATCTTGCCACTGCACTCCAGCCTGGGTGACAGGGCAAGCCCCTGTCTCAAAAAAAAAAAAAAAAAAAAAGAAAAGAAACCATCAAATTGTCTTCCAAAGAGCCTGAAGAACCTGTAGCATTTTGCGTTCCCATCAGCAATGAATGAGAGTTCATTCATTCACACTGATTCAATGAGATGACCCAAATCCAGAACACTGACAACACTAAATGCTGGTGAGGATGTGGAGCAACACACGTGTTTGGGTCCTCGCATTGTTGATCTAATTTGAAGTTCCCTGATGACACATGATGTGGAGCATCTTTTCACATGCTTACTTCATTTGTAAAATCTTTGGTGAGGTGTCTGTTCCAGTCGCTTGTCCATTTTTCAGCTGGGTTGTTCATTTTCTTATTGTTGAGCTTTAACAGTTCTTTGTATATTTTGGATAACAATCTTTTATCAGGTGTCTTTTCCAAATACTTTTTCCCAGTTGGTGGCTTGTCTTCTAATTCTCTTGACAGTGTTTTTCACAGAGCAGAAGTTTCTCTAATTTATTGAAGTCCAATTTATCAATGATTTCTTTCATGGTTAATGCCTGTGGTGTTGCATCAAAAAAGTCATGTCCATACGCAACATCATCCAGATTTCCTCCTTTGTTGTCTTCTAGAAGTTTTATAGTTTAGTGCTTTACATATAGGTCTGTGAGCCATTTCGACTTCATTTTTATGAAGGGTGCAAGGTCTGTGTCTGAATTCTTTTTTTTTTTATTTGCATATGGATGTCCAGTTGTTCCAGGACCATTTGTTGAAAATACTGTCTTTTTTTCCATTGTATTATCCTTGCTCCTTTATCAAACATCAGTTGAGTATAGCTATGTGGGTCTGTTTCTGGGCTCTCTATTCTGTTCTATTCATCTATTTGCCTATTCTTTTATCAATATCACAGTCTCTTGATTACCGTGGCTTTATAGTAAGCCTTGAAGTTGGGTAGTATCAGTCCTCCGACTTCTTCTTCTTCTTCAACATTGTGTTGGCTATTCTGAATCTTTTGCCTCTCCGTTTAGCAGTCTTTTTTCTTTCTTGTGCATGCAACAATGGTATATCTTATAATTGAGGGCATCTTAGATCTGATGAAATATGAGAGTTCCTCATGGATATTTCTAGAGATATCTTGTGCCTATAAAAGCATATACATAAAAGTATTATTTTTCTCTCAGCCGGGCACAGTGGCTCATGCATGTAATCCCAGCACTTTGGGAGGCCGAGGCAGGCGGATCACCTGAGGTCAGGAGTTCGAGACCAGCCTAACATGGTGAAACCCCATCTCTACTAAAAATACAAAAATTAGCCGGGCATAGTGGTGGGCACCTGTAATCCCAGCTACTCAGGAGGCTGAGGCAGGAGAATCACTTGAACTCGGGAGGCAGAGGTTGCACTGAGCCAAGATTGCGCCATTGCACTCCAACCTGGGCGACAGAGCGAGACTCCGTCTCAAAAAAAAAAGAGAGAAAAAGGATTATTTTTCTCTCAAGTTTATTTGTTTGGAAAACAATAATTTATTGCTCTTCCTTCCAAGTCTTTGTGAATTTACAGAAAAAAAACAAAAACAAAAACAAAAAAACAAAAAGATCAACGTTTACAGACTGTTCAGTTCAGACTAAGAATGCCAGAGATGAGTACCTGTACTGCCGTGGCTGCCGGCTACATGGCACCAATGTTCCCCAGCAGATATGCGCTAAAGTTTAAAACAAGCCCCCTCCAGATTTGTATTATCACCTTCAGAAAGGCTGTATTCCTCACACTGCATCTCACACGACATACTCAGGTCGTTAGTCACATCTGAAAATAAACTGGCCAATAAATGTGTTTCCTTCTGTGCATCTACTTTCCACGAGGCTTCATATTCAATCCACCACCTTTTTAGCCACATTTTCTCTTCTGCTGTTTGTGCTAGAAGTTGTTGCTGTTGGGCTTCTCTGTGTTTTGCCATAAATTGGAGCAAGTTCCAAGCACCAACTACCTTCCTCTTCTCATTTTCTGCTGCTTTTGCAAGTTGGTCCACAGGCTCAATTAAACCACCAACTATTTCTGAAATGGACTGATTTTGCCCACAAAATCCATGCAGTCTTCCTTGGGGTCCCTGGTCTGCTACGTAACCTCAGGGTCCCGCACCCAGGCTTGCTCAGCTCATCAAAACACAGTCCTGCTTCACCCAGGCTGTCCTGGCCTGTTTCCCTTCCAGCTTCCCCGCAGAAGAGTGATTCTGCTCTGCAGGGTGACAGTGGCGGCCAGAGGAGGTGTGTCATCGGAAAGAAAAAAGTCTGCTTGATTGTCACAGGGACCGTTCACTTAACACGTATTTCTCGAGTGTGTGAGCATCTAGTCAATGCTGCTAGATGCCAGAGAGGCAAAGATGACTGCACTTGGTCCTAGCCCCTTGGAGCACCTTGTCTGGCACTGGCCCCACTGCTGCAGCCCTGGCTGAGGTCAGCAGGCTGCTCTCCCTCAAGTCAGTGGCCACCAGAGCCTTACCTGCCAGCCCTGTCTGCCACCATGGCTGCTGGGCCTCCCTCAAGCTTATTTTTGATGTCTATATTGTGGGTCAAATTATAAGAGGCTTTAAAAGGATGAGTGTAAATGGAGGTGTCTGTCCCCTAATGGGTGCCCAGAGGAATTTTTCCATGTCAGGTAAGGATACCTTTTTTTCTGAGGCAGGGTCTCACTCTGTCTCCCAGGCTGGAGTGCAAAGGGCGATCACAGCTCACTGCAGCCTCGACCTCCCAGGCTCAAGCAATCCTCCCACCTTTGCTTCCTGAGTAGCTGGGACTACAGGTGCTTGCCATCACAGCCAGCTAATTTTTTTTTTTTTTTTTTGTATGTTTTTGTAGAGATGGGATTTCACCATGTTGCCCAGGCTGGTCTTAAACTCAGCTCAAGCTATCTGGCCCCCTCTGCCTCCCAAAGTGCTGGGATTACAGGCGTGAGCCACTGCGCCTGCCCACCCGCCCCCCACCCCCCGACTTCTTTCTTTTTAAACATTTTTGTAAACTTCTCTCTTTTTAAACATGCACACTCACTCCACCCAAGCCTCTGAAGACAGAATTCTTGACCCTATTGCACTTACGATCTAATAGAAGAGACACAGATATAATATATTATGGTTTGATATGTTCACTGCTAGAAGTTTATGCCAAGTGCTGCTAGAACATAAATAATGGAGCAGTTCATCTTTCCTGGGGATAGGAGCCAGAGCCACAGTGAGCGCTGTTGACTGGGGTCTTAAAATTAAGCTGCATATGCCAAGCAGGGAAAGCGGGAAAGAGCATTGCCAGCAAAGGGAGCAGTATGATCAAAATTCCAAAGCAGTGCGTGCCAAAGGGCGTGTCATGAGCTGGAAAAGGTATGGTAGCACTGGTCAAGATTGCAATTTCAGTGTTCTTTTTTTTTTTTTAATTGAGACAGAGTCTCACTCTGTCACCCAGGCTGGAGTGCAGTGGCGCGATCTCAGCTCGCTGCAACTTCCACCTCCTGGGTTCAAGCAGTTTTCCTGCCTCAGCCTCCGGAGTAGCTGGGATTACAGGCACCCGCCACCACACCCAGCTGATTTTTGTATTTTTAGTAGAGACGGGGTTTCACCGTGTTGGCCAGGCTGGTCTCGAACTCCTGACCTCAAGTGATCCTCTCATCTTGGCCTCCAAAAGTGCTGGGATTACAGGCATGAGTCATGGCACCCGGCCAGTTTCAGGGTTTGTTTGAAATGATCACTTAATGAGTAACTGTCTCCCCTACTAGACTGTAAACTCTATGAGGGCCGGGGCTGGGTCTGTGTTCAACCACACTATGCCCCAGTGCTGAGCATGTCATGGCATTCAAATAAATATCCGTTGGATGGATGAATGGATGGAAGAAAGGAGGGATGAAATTTTTTAATTAAGAGATGTGTGCCAATTTTGGCAAATTTGTCAAAAATTTTGAAGAAAGTTTTTCTCAGTGAATATGAATATATTCCACTTGTGAATCTATTCACAGACTATGGGCTTGCTGGAACCTAAGAGTCATCGAGTAGTTTAGACTTCTTATCAATAGATTTTTATTTATATTCATAAGAGTATATTCTTGAATATATTTACTAATGCATTCATTAACAGTATATATTCGTATTCATTGAAAACATTAAAGAAAAAATTCTTTAGAATGGACAAATCAGAATATTTCACTTTTTTTTTTTTTTTTTTTTTGAGGCAGAGTCTGGCTCTGTTGCCGGGCTGGAGTGCAGTGGCACGATCTTGGCTCACTACAACCTCTGCCTCCTGGATTCAAGCGATTCTCCTGCCTCAGCCTCCCAAGAAGCTGGGACTACAGGTGCGTGCCACCACACCCAGATAATTTTTGTATTTTTAGGAGAGGCGGGGTTTCACCATGTTGGTCAGGGTGGTCTTGATCTCTTGACCTTGTGATCCGCCCGCCTTGGCCTCCCAAAGTGTTGGGATTACAGGCGTGAGACACAGTGCCCAGCCTAGAATATTTCATAAATGTAGCAAATTGGCTTTAGGGAACTTTTTCTGCTTCCAGCATTCAGCAGCTATTTGAAGGGTTTTGGAAGCAAAGGAATGGAGGGAGACAGGACGGCACCCTGAGGGAGACGCAGGGCTGAACGGAGCTGTTCGGGGATAGCTGTGGCTTGAGTGGGTCTGTTGGCTGAAAGGAGGGATTCGTTGAAGAAGGAGCAATGGACGAGGTGAGAGAGAGGATACTGGATGGAACCAGGTTTCAGAGGAGGCTGATGGGAGAATGTGAGGAGCACCAAAGCGAGCCTTAGGAAAAAGAAGTTCAGACAGACAGACACTTCGGTAAACCACAGCTCCCAGTATTCACCACTGTGTGTAGTCTCCTCCCACACTGACTCTGGGCTTGGTCAGCTGACAAGCTTTGGCCAATAGGGCTCTAGCAAGAAGATGCCAGCAGAGGCTTGAAAAGTGCCTACCCCTGGCCTGGGATGCTTCCTCCTGGGATGCTCCCACTTGGAACCCAACTATTGTGCTGCAGAAGTTTAACTTAACTGTGTAAGGAGGCCAAGAGGAGGCCCTGGCTGCCAGCCAGCATCAACTTCCAGTGACGTGAGTGTGCCATTCTGGAACTGGATCCTGCAGCCTCGGTGGAGCAGCCTCAGCTGATGCCATGTGGAACAGAGATGAACTGCCGCTGCCGAGCTCTGCCCACGTTGCAGAATCATGAGCAAATGTGAGTTTTGTGGTTTTAAGCCACGAAGTTTAGAGGTGGTTTGCAATAGAATGGAGGGGACTGCTTTTCTTCTGAGTTTCGGATTGAATTCTGCTTTACTATAACTTATTTATTATATATTTGTAACAATTCTGTCTCCACCCATCAGTATTCACCCGCCTAAGGGCACAGAGGCACCAGGACTCTGGGAACCTTCCTTGATGTCTGGATCTACTGCAGTGACTCTTAGTGCAGCAGTTAAAAGCCAGACTGTCCTAGTGTGAATCCGGCCTTGGCTATTCATTGGCTGGAAGACCTGAGCCAAGCCTGTGCCTCTGTCCGGGCATCTGGGTAGATGTCCTAGGAGTCCACTAAGAAGAAAACTGAGGCCAGTGAGAGGCAGAGTTGAGGCAAGGCGCAACTCTATTCCCCTGCTGGGGAAAGCAGCTCTGCCCCTCGGTCTGCCCTGCTGACCAGGCATGACACACCACCTCATCAGCAGGGCCCACGGCACCCAGACCTGGCCTGGAGGGGCTGAGACAGCATTGCTAGGGGTCAGATGGTCACAGAATAAGCAACCTGAGACCTGGAAGGGCATAAGCATCTTCCCCTACCTGGAATCAGAGGCATAGCTGAGGTCAAACATCAGGGCAGGAGGGCCTGGAGGGGGTCGGAACCAGAGGTCACCCGGGTGTTTGGTTGGGAGGGGCGTCCATCTTTATCTTATCCATCACCATCACCATTATTGCTAAACATACAGTGAGCATTACTATGTGCCGAGCACTCATCTAAGCCCTTTATACTTCTAAACTTCTAAACTTATCCTCATAGCCACTTTTGGACACCAGTACATTATTGTCTCCACATCATAGCTGAGGACTCAAGGGACAGAGGGGTTTTGTAACCTGCTGAAGAACATGCAGCAGCTGCATAGCATAGCCAGGATTTGAACCCTGGCAGCCTGGATCCAGAGCCTGCTTAGGACCACTCAGTGACACTATTGAGGATTTCAGCCACCTTCTCCATAACACTATAGTCTTGCTTTTACCCTACTCCCTCAAACATCTTTTTACCAGGTCAACATTAGCTTAAAAACTGAGACACTTTTCTTATTGAAGCACATGCTCCAAGTACACCCTCTCTGCTCCCCAATTAGACCATCATTCCTGCCTTCCCTCCGTCTTATCTCTTCTAAATCCTTACACCGAGTGCCACCTCCTCCATGAAGATTTCCTGTCCTGGTTACTTCCCACCTGGAAATTTATACCTTCTCTCTTTCTTTTTTATTTCCTTTTCTTTCTTTCTTTCTTATTTATTTATTTATTTATTTATTTATTTATTTATTTATTTATTTTGGAGACTTTTTGTTTTTTCTTTTCTTTTTCGAGACAGAGTCTTGCTCTGTCGCCCAGACTGGAGTACAGTGGGGTGATCTTGGCTCACTCTAGCCTCTGCCTCCCGGGTTCAAGTGACTCTCATGCCTCAGCCTCCCAAGTAGCTGGGACTACAGGTGTGTGCCACAAAGCCTGGCTAATTTTTTTTTTCTTTTTTTCTTTTTTTGCATTTTTAGTAGAGGTAAGGTTTCACTGTGTTGGCCAGGCTGGCCTCAAGCTCCTGGCCTCAAGTGATCCACCCGCCTCAACTTCCCAAAGTGCTGGTATTACAGGCATAAGCCACGGCGCCCGGCCTATACCTTCTTTCTTAATTTGCCCAGCACCATTTGTTTCCTCCACTAGTACATATTCCACGGCTTGCCGTAATCTGCTTTGATGCCTATGCTGACCACTGGGATGAGCCCCAGGGGCCCTCCCTTCACCATTCTGACAAATGTTCTTCCCAAAACCATGGGAGTAGCTAGGAAAAGGTAACCAACAGGGCTGTGGAGAAGACAGACAGAAGTAAGACATACAGTCCCTCAGAAGGTGGCAGCCAACCCTGCCTGAGCTCTTCTAGCACCCTAGGGGGGCAAGTTTGCTTTCAGCAGAAGAGCTGGGGTTTGGGCTGGGCATGGTGGCTCATGCCTGTAGTCCCAGCTACTGAGGAGGCTGAGGTGGGAGGATTACTTTAGCCCAGGAATTCAAGGTTAGGGTGAGCTATCTTTGTGCCACTGCACTTCAGCCTGGGCAACAGATCAAGACCCTATCTCTTTTTTAAAGAAGAAGAAGAAGGAGGAGGAGGAGAAGGAGAAGGAGAAGGAGAGGAAGAAGGGGGAGGGGGAGGAAAAGAAAGAGGAAGGAGGAAGAGGAGGGAGGAGGGGAAGGGAAAGAGGAAGGAGGAGGAGAGGAAGAGGAAGAAAAGAAGAAGAGGAAGAAGGAGGAGGAGAGGAGGAGGAGACGAGGAGGCGGAAGGAGGAGGAGGAGGAGGAAGGAGAAGGAGGAGGAGGAGAGGGAGGAGGAGAAGGAGGAGGGGGAGGAGGAGGAGAGGAGGAGGAAGAGGAGGGAGAAGGAGGAGGGGGAGAAGGAGGAGGAGGAAGAGGAGAAGAAGAAGGAGGAGGAGGAGATCTAGAGTTGAAGGCAATCTACAAGGTATATCAGCTTGGGATAAATATTTTGATATATTCATCTATGAGTTTTGTTCCCCTCCTCTTTGTATTTTTCTCTTTTCTTTTTTTTTCCTTTTTTTAATTTTTTATTATTATTATACTTTAAGTTTTAGGGTACATGTGCACAATGTGCAGGTTAGTTACATATGTATACATGTGCCATGCTGGTGTGCTGCACCCACTAACTCGTCATCTAGCATTAGGTATATCTCCCAATGCTATCCCTCCCCACTTCCCCCAACCCACAACAGGCCCCAGAGTGTGATGTTCCCCTTCCTGTGTCCATGTGTTCTCATTGTTCAATTCCCACCTATGAGTGAGAATATGCAGAGTTTGGTTTTTTGTTCTTGCGATAGTTTACTGAGAGTGATGATTTCCAGTTTCATCCATGTCCCTACAAAGGACATGAACTCATCATTTTTTATAGTTGCATGGTATTCCATGGTGTATATGTGCCACATTTTCTTAATCCAGTCTATCATTGTTGGACATCTGGGTAGGTTCCAAGTCTTTGCTATTGTGAATAATGCCGCAATAAACATAGGTGTGCATGTGTCTTTATAGCAGCATGATTTATAGTCCTTTGGGTATATACCCAGTAATGGGATGGCTGGGTCAAATGGTATTTCTAGTTCTAGAGCCCTGAGGAATCGCCACACTGAATTCCACAATGGTTGAACTAGTTTACAGTCCCACCAACAGTGTAAAAGTGTTCCTATTTCTCCACATCCTCTCCAGCACCTGTTGTTTCCTGACTTTTTAATGATTGCCATTCTAACTGGTGTGAGATGGTATCTCATTGTGGTTTTGATTTGCATTTCTCTGATGGCCAGTGATGGTGAGCATTTTTTCATGTGTTTTTTGGCTGCATAAATGTCTTCTTTTGAGAAGTGTCTGTTCACGTCCTTCGCCCACTTTTTGATGGGGTTGTTTGTTTTTTTCTTGTAAATTTGTTTGAGTTCATTGTAGATTCTGGATATTAGCCCCTTGTCAGATGAGTAGGTTGTGAAAATTTCCTCCCATTTTGTAGGTTGCCTGTTCACTCTGATGGTAGTTTCTTTTGCTGTTCAGAAGCTCTTTAGTTTAATTAGATCCCATTTGTCAATTTTGGCTTTTGTTGCCATTGCTTTTGGTGTTTTAGACATGAAGTCCTTGCCCATGCCTATGTCCTGAATGGTAAAGCCTAGGTTTTCTTCTAGGGTTTTTATGGTTTTAGGTCTAACGTTTAAGTCTTTAATCCACCTTGAATTGATTTTTGTATAAGGTGTAAGGAAGGGATGCAGTTTCAGCTTTCTACATATGGCTAGCCCGTTTTCCCAGCACCATTTATTAAATAGGGAATCCTTTCCCCATTGCTTGTTTTTCTCAGGTTTGTCAAAGATCAGATAGTTGTAGATATGCGGCGTTATTTCTGAGGGCTCTGTTCTGTTCCATTGATCTATATCTCTGTTTTGGTACCAGTACCATGCTGTTTTGGTTACTGTAGCCTTGTAGTATAGTTTGAAGTCAGGTAGTGTGACGCCTCCAGCTTTGTTCTTTTGGCTTAGGATTGACTTGGCGATGCAGGCTCTTTTTTGGTTCCATATGAACTTTAGTTTTTTCCAATTCTGTGAAGAAAGTCATTGGTAGCTTGATGGGGATGGCATTGAATCTATAAATTACCTTGGGCAGTATGGCCATTTTCACAATATTGATTCTTCCTACTCATGAGCATGGAGTGTTCTTCCATTTGTTTGTATCCTCTTTTATTTCCTTGAGCAGTGGTTTGTAGTTCTCCTTGAAGAGGTCCTTCACATCCCTTGTAAGTTGTATTCCTAGGTATTTTATTCTCTTTGAAGCAATTGTGAATGGGAGTTCACTCATGATTTGGCTCTCTGTCTGTTGTTGGTGTATGAGAATGCTTGTGATTTTTGTACATTGATTTTGTATCCTGAGACTTTGCTGAAGTTGCTTATCAGCTTAAGGAGATTTTGGGCTGAGACAATGGGGTTTTCTAGATATACAATCATGTCACCTGCAAACAGCGACAATTTGACTTCCTCTTTTCCTAATTGAATACCCTTTATTTCCTTCTCCTGCCTGATTGCCCTGGCCAGAACTTCCAACACTATGTTGAATAGGAGTGGTGAGAGAGGGCATCCCTGTCTTGTGCCAGTTTTCAAAGGAAATGCTTCCAGTTTTTGCCCATTCAGTATGATATTGGCTGTGGGTTTGTCATAGATAGCTCTTATTATTTTGAAATACGTCCCATCAGTACCTAATTTATTGAGAGTTTTTAGCATGAAGATTTGTTGAATTTTGTCAAAGGCCTTTTCTGCATCTATTGAGATAATCATGTGGTTTTTGTCTTTGGTTCTGTTTATGTGCTGGATTACGTTTATTGATTTGCGTATATTGAACCAGCCTTGCATCCCAGGGATGAAGTCCACTTGATCATGGTGGATAAGCTTTTTGATGTGCTGCTGGATTTGGTTTGCCAGTATTTTACTGAGGATTTTTGCATCGATGTTCATCAAGGATATTGGTCTAAAATTCTCTTTTTTGGTTGTGTCTCTGCCCGGCTTTGGTATCAGGATGATGCTGGCCTCATAAAATGAGTTAGGGAGGATTCCCTCTTTTTCTATTGATTGGAATAGTTTCAGAAGGAATGGTACCAGTTCCTCCTTGTACCTCTGGTAGAATTTGGCTGTGAATCCATCTGGTCCTGGACTCTTTTTGGTTGGTAAGCTATTGATTATTGCCACAATTTCAGCTCCTGTTATTGGTCTATTCAGAGATTCAACTTCTTCCTGGTTTAGTCTTGGGAGAGTGTATGTGTCGAGGAATTTATCCATTTCTTCTAGATTTTCTAGTTTTATTTGCGTAGAGGTGTTTGTAGTATTCTCTGATGGTAGTTTGTAGTTCTGTGGGATCGGTGGTGATATCCCCTTTATCATTTTTTATTGCATCTATTTGATTCTTCTCTCTTTTTTTCTTATTAGTCTTGCTAGCGGTTTATCAATTTTGTTGATCCTTTCAAAAAACCAGCTCCTGGATTCATTAATTTTTGAAGGGTTTTTTGTGTCTCTATTTCCTTCAGTTCTGCTCTGATTTTAGTTATTTCTTGCCTTCTGCTAGCTTTTGAATGTGTTTGCTCTTGCTTTTCTAGTTCTTTTAATTGTGATGTTAGGGTTTCAATTTTGGATCTTTCCTGCTTTCTCTTGTGGGCATTTAGTGCTATAAATTTCCCTCTACACACTGCTTTGAATGCGTCCCAGAGATTCTGGTATGTTGTGTCTTTGTTCTCGTTGGTTTCAAAGAACATCTTTATTTCTGCCTTCATTTCGTTATGTACCCAGTAGTCATTCAAGAGCAGGTTGTTCAGTTTCCATGTAGTTGAGCGGTTTTAAGTGAGATTCTTAATCCTGAGTTCTAGTTTGATTGCACTGTGGTCTGAGAGATAGTTTGTTATAATTTCTGTTCTTTTACATTTGCTGAGGAGAGCTTTACTTCCAAGTATGTGGTCAATTTTGGAATAGGTGTGGTGTGGTGCTGAAAAAAATGTATATTCTGTTGATTTGGGGTGGAGAGTTCTGTAGATATCTATTAGGTCCAGTTGGTGCAGAGCTGAGTTCAATTCCTGGGTATCCTTGTTGACTTTCTGTCTCATTGATCTGTCTAATGTTGACAGTGGGGTGTTAAAGTCTCCCATTATTAATGTGTGGGAGTCTAAGTCTCCTTGTAGGTCACTCAGGACTTGCTTTATGAATCTGGGTGCTCCTGTATTGGGTGCATATATATTTAGGATAGTCAGCTCTTCTTGTTGAATTGATCCCTTTACCATTATGTAATGGCCTTCTTTGTCTCTTTTGATCTTTGTTGGTTTAAAGTCTGTTTTATCAGAGCCTAGGATTGCAACCCCTGCCTTTTTTTGTTTTCCATTTGCTTGATAGATCTTCCTCCATACTTTTATTTTGAGCCTATGTGTGTCTCTGCATGTGAGATGGGTTTCCTGAATACAGCACACTGATGGGTCTTGACTCTTTATCCAATTTGCCAGTCTGTGTCTTTTAATTGGAGCATTTAGTCCATTTACATTTAAAGTTAATATTGTTATGTGTGAATTTGATCCTGTCATTATGATGTTAGCTGGTTATTTTGCTCGATAGTTCATGCAGTTTCTTCCTAGTCTCGATGGTCTTTACATTTTGGGCATGATTTTGCAGCAGCTGGTACCGGTTGTTCCTTTCCATGTTTAGCGCTTCCTTCAGGAGCTCTTTTAGGGCAGGCCTGGTGGTGAGAAAATCTCTCAGCATTTGCTTGTCTGTAAAGTATTTTATTTCTCCTTCACTTATGAAGCTTAGTTTGGCTGGATATGAAATTCTGGGTTGAAAATTCTTTTCTTTAAGAATGTTGAATATTGGCCCCCACTCTCTTCTGGCTTGTAGAGTTTCTGCCGAGAGATCCGCTGTTAGTCTGATGGGCTTCCCTTTGAGGGTAACCCAACCTTTCTCTCTGGCTGCCCTTAACATTTTTCCTTCATTTCAACTTTGGTGAATCTGACAATTATGTGTCTTGGAGTTGCTCTTCTCGAGGAGTATCTTTGTGGCGTTCTCTGTATTTCCTGAATCTGAACGTTGGCCTGCCTTGCTAGATTGGGGAAGTTCTCCTGGATAATATCCTGCAGAGTGTTTTCCAATTTGGTTCCATTCTCCCCGTCACTTTCAGGTACACCAATCAGACGTAGATTTGGTTTTTTCACATAGTCGCATATTTCTTGGAGGCTTTGCTCATTTCTTTTTATTCTTTTTTCTCTAAACTTCCCTTCTCTCTTCATTTCATTCATTTCATCTTCCATCACTGATACCCTTTCTTCCAGTTGATCGCATCAGCTCCTGAGGCTTCTGCATTCTTCACGTAGTTCTCGAGCCTTGGTTTTCAGCTCCATCAGCTCCTTTAAGCACTTCTCTGTATTAGTTATTCTAGTTATACATTCTTCTAAATTTTTTTCAAAGTTTTCAACTTCCTTGCCATTGGTTTGAATGTCCTCCCGTAGCTCGGAGTAATTTGATCGTCTGAAGCCTCCTTCTCTCAGCTCGTCAAAGTCATTTGTTCCGTTGCTGGTGAGGAACTGCGTTCCTTTGGAGGAGGTGAGGCGCTCTGCTTTTTAGAGTTTCCATTTTTTCTGCTCTGTTTTTTCCCCATCTTTGTGGTTTTATCTACTTTTGGTCTTCGATGATGGTGATGTACAGATGGGTTTTTGGTGTGGATATCCTTTCTGTTTGTTAGTTTTCCTTCTAACAGACAGGACGCTCAGCTGCAGGTCTGTTGGAGTACCCGGCCGGCCGTGTGAGGTGTCAGTCTGCCCCTGCTGGGGGGTGCCTCCCAGTTAGGCTGCCCGGAGGTCAGGCATCAGGGACCCACTTGAGGAGGCAGTCTGCCCGTTCTCAGATCTCCAGCTGCATGCTGGGAGAACCACTGCTCTCTTCAAAGCTGTCAGACAGGGACATTTAAGTCTGTAGAGGTTACTGCTGTCTTTTTGTTTGTCTGTGCCCTGCCCCCAGAGGTGGAGCCTACAGAGGCAGGCAGGCCTCCTTGAGCTGTGGTGGGCTCCACCCTGTTCGAGCTTCCTGGCTGCTTTGTTTACCTAAGGAAGCCTGGGCAATGGCGGGCGCCCCTCCCCCAGCCTCGCTGCCGCCTTGCAGTTTGATCTCAGACTGCTGTGCTAGCAATCAGTGAGACTCCGTGGGCGTAGGACCCTCTGAGCCAGGTGTGGGTTATAATCTCCTCGTGCGCCGTTTTTTAAGCCCGTCGGAAAAGCGCAGTATTCAGGTGGGAGTGACCCGATTTTCCAGGTGGCTTCTGTCACCCTTTTCTTTGACTAGGAAATGGAACTCCCTGACCCCTTGCACTTCCCAAGTAAGGCAATGCCTCGCCCTGCTTTGGCTGGCGCATGATGCACGCACCCACTGACCTGCGCCCACTGTCTGGCACTCCCTAGTGAGATGAACCCGGTACCTCAGATGGAAATGCAGAAATCACCCATCTTTTGCATCGCTCATGCTGGGAGCTGTAGACTGGAGCTGTTCCTATTCGGCCATCTTGGCTCCTCCCCCGTATTTTTCTCTTTTCTATTCCTCCAAATGTGCAAGTAGTGGGCTCTGGGCAGGGCTGTGACAGAGCAGAAAATAAAAGTTGCCCACCAAACACTAACTCCCTTCCTGGACTACATTTTCATAGGTCTAGTCTAAGACTCCCTGAGGTAGAAAGAATTTCATAGAGAAGACAAAATGTCTTGGAGAAAGATGAAAGACAAAGGGTTCATCCACCCAGGGCAGAGGGGCTATGAGGAGGGAGAGGTCATGGGTCCCAGGAACAGAGCAGACCTGGCCTGTCTCCCTAGTAGACCCCAGAAGCCACACACATGAACCCAGAGAAGGATCACAGAAGAGTGTCATGGGGCGGGGGTCACTTAGATGGAATTTGCCGAGACTCTGGGCCTGAGCCTATGGAGCAGGGATGGCGGATGTCTCAGCAGCAACCATGTGGACATGTGTCCAATGAAGAAATGCTTTGCACACAGCCTAAGATTCCAGACCCAGAGAACAACCATGGGGCTATGGGTCAGGGAGGAGCAGGGAACACATCTTCAAGAACCGGGGTTAAGTTCCCCCCAGTTTAGCAGACTAGCTGATTTGTAAAACACAAAGTTAAACTTCATGTGCACCTGAGTTTGTGAACTGACATTTCCACCCACTGCACGTGTTCCCACATTGTGAGTCCTGGGGATCCAATCTGTTCCCGTTTTTGTTGGAGCAAGGGAGCCCACAAACTCACTAGAACCCATCTGCTGGGATGGGAGGTGGAGAGGAGAGGGCTGGCTTTCCCTCAGATGCCAGGCAACTGTTTCTAGGTTGCTAATCTTGCCACCTTCCCAGTTCCCTCAGCCCTGAGGAAGGCAAGGGCAGCCTGAGTTACCCCCATGAGTTAGGGAGCTTGGGGAAAACATGCACAAGTGGCCAGGAGACTGAGGGAAAGGAGGCTGCATGCAGGCTGGGGATTTAAAACCTTTTTGAGAATGATCTACTGAGCATCTGCTATGTACCAGGTCCTGGGCTAAAATCTGGAAGATAAATTAAAAAAAAAAATAGGCCAGGCACAGTGGCTCATACCTGCAATCCCAGCACTTTGGTAGGCCCAGGTGGTTGGATCACCTGAGGTCAGGAGTTGGAGACAAGCCTGGCCAGCATGGCGAAACCCCATCTCTACTAAAAATACAAAAATTAGCTGGGCGTGGTGGTGCGCGCCTGTAATCCCAGCTACTCAGGAGGCTGAGGCAGGAGAATTGCTTCAACCCAGGAGGCGGAGGTTGCAGTGAGCCAAGATCATGCCACTGCACTCCAGCCTGGGTGACAAGAGTGAAACTCTGTCTCAATAATAATAATAAGTATGCTAGAAAGCACTGTTTCAGAGCCTGGCACATAGTAGATGCTTCATAAATCCTATATACCTCATACTCTTCCTGGAAGGATACAAAGATGTGGGAAATACAGTTTCACTCTCAAGAATCCTAAGATTTTGTAAGAGGGTGAAGACTCTCATGCACAGCTCTCTACAACCCAGGTAAAACAAGATGAACACCGTAGCTCAGGCCTAAGGATACAATGGCTCAAGGGAGGGACAGAGAACACCTGGGTGAAGCTTCACTTTGAGGTACTGATATGGTTTGGCTGTGCCCCCACCCAAATCTCATCTTGAATTGTAGCTCCCACAATTCCCACATGTCATGGGAGGGACCTGGTGGATAACCGAATCATGGGGGCGGGTCTTTCCCGTGTTGTTCTCGTGATAGTGAAGAAGTCTCACAAGATCTGATGGTTTTATAAAGGAGAGTTCCCCTGCAGATGCTCTCTCTTGCCTGCTGCCATGTAAGACATCCCTTGCTCTTCCGCCATGATTGTGAGGTGTCCCCAGCCATCTGGAACTGTGAGTCAATTAAACCTCTTTCCTTTATAAATTACCCAGTCTCAGGTGTGTCTTTATTAACAGCGTGAGAACAAACTAATAGAGGTACCATGTCAATATTGAGGGTACATATAGGGGAGGTGGGAGGTGAGGAGGTGGACAGAGAACAGGACTCGTGAGAAGCTATTGGTAGACTGAGCCACAGGAGAATATATTCTGGCAGTCACTAACTTCCAGAGTGAAAGTTCACATGCAAATCAGTCGTTTGGAATTTGGAATGCATTTTCCCATGGGAACAATACCATACATGGAGGCTGAGATCTTAGGCCAGAGGATGGAAACAGATTTACTCCCACAGTATTATTCAACTAGGTTACTCATAGCATTACTTAGTTCAGAATTCAGGGAGATGGGAGCCCTGTGGCCCACCTCATTGTGGGGCTGGACCTGCCCTAGGTCAAGGTCTTTTTTGTCTTGGGTATGGAATGGTTTAGGAGGAGATTAAATTTGAGAAATCATAAAGCTGATTCTAATTGCATTTAATGGCAAAACTATCAGCTGACATACATGTGTAATTACATATTAGAGTATTCAGGAGAAAGTGATGAAATAAATTCTAAATTACTACCAAATCAGCAGGCAGGCTAATCTTAGAATTTCATGGTGGCCAAAGCAGTACTGTTTGATGTAAATGCCTCCTAATCCCTAATTCAATATGACTGCTGTCTTTATTAAAAAGGAGGGTTTGGACCCAGAGACAGACAGACAGACAGACAGACAGACAGACAGACAGACACACACACACACACACACACGACACACACACAAGGAGAAAGCCATGTGAAGATGAGGGCAGAGATTGGGCAATGTTTCTACAAGCCAAGGAGCTCGAAAGATTGCCTGCAAACCACAAGCAGGGGAGCAGCATGGAACAGATCCTCACAGAGCTCACAGGGAGGCCATCCAGCCAATACCCTGATCTCAGACTTCAGCCTCCAGAACTGTGAAACAACACATTTCTGTGGTTTAAGCCACAGACCTCTCCCTCCTCATGGCGCCCCTTCCCTGAGGGGATGTACCCTTTGCCTTTCACCTTTCTCCAAGACATTTTGTCTTCTCTAGGAAATTCTTTCCACCTCAGGGTGTCTTAGACTAGACCTATGAAAACGTAGTCCAGGAAGGGAGCTAGTATTTGGTGGGCAGCTTTTTTTTTTTTTTTTGAGATGGAATCTCACTCTGCTGCCCAGGCTGTAGTGCAGTGGCGTGGTCTTGGCTCACTGCAACCTCTGCCTCCCGGGTTCAAGCGATTCTCCTGCCTCCACCCCCGAGTAGCTGGGACTACAGGCACGTGCCACCACGCCTGGCCAATTTTTTGTATTTTTAGTAGAGACGGGGTTTCACTGTGTTCGCCAGGATGGTCTCAATCTCCTGACCTTGTGATCCGCCCACCTCAACCTCCCAAAGTGCTGGGATTACAGGCATGAGCCACCGTACCCGGCCTGTGGGCAGCTTTGATTTTCTGCTCTGTCACAGCCAGCCCAGAGACAGTAGTAACTTGTGGTACTTTGTTACGGCAGCCCTAGCAAACTAATACAGGTATTAGAGTACGGCAGTAGCAGTGGATAACTGACATGCAGCATAATCTCACCACCCTAGTAGAACTGACCAGGCCAGGGACCCTTATAGAAACAAAGGCAGCCAACTGCTGACTGAGCAGTGCCCTCTAACATGGCCTGGGGCCAGCGCTGTGACCAACAGCAGCTACCAATACTAACCACCCAATCAGATAGTGTTTCTTGGGGGATTTGAAGGGAGTGTAAGGCCCTCAAAGAAGGTGGACACAGGAGGCACTAAGCAGAGGCCATGGAAGAATCATGCATGAGGACAGCCTTCGAGAGGAGGGGAGAATGGAGACAGGCTTTGGGAGCGACAAGAGAAGCAGAGACTCAAGGGTGAATCAGAAGCCAAGGCAAAAATGGGCAAAGACATACCTATGATGGCGCCCCTTGGAGCAAGAGCAGTCCCACTGCCTTTGCAGGGTAAAGTGGTGCTCACATCTTTGCTTCTAGCGGCTGCCAAGCTGCCAGAGCTCTCATTTTCCCAATTAAGGTGCCAGCCTCCCGGACGCCTCACCTCCGCATGGAGCCTTGAAATGACCACTCACTTGCCAAGTACAGCACCTGAGCTGGTCTCTTCTCCCTGCAGCCCAAGAGAGTCTAACACATTGCTGCAGAGGCAGTAGAAAACATAGACAAGCCAAAACAAGAAAAGGAAAGGCAGGCACAGTGGCTCACTCCTGTAATCCCAGCACTTTGGGATGCCAAGGCAGGCAGGTCACCTGAGGTCAGGAGTTCAAGACCAGCCTAGCCAACATGATGAAACCCCGTCTCTACTAAAAATACAAAAATTAGCTGGGCATGGTGACACACGCCTGTAGTCCCAGCTACTCGGGAGGCTGAGGCAGGAGAATTGCTTGAACCCAGGAGGTGGAAGTTGCAGTGAGCCGAGATAGCACCGCTACACTCCAGCCTGGGTGACAGGGCAAGACTCTGTCTCAAAAAAAAAAAAAAGGATTTTTAAAAAAGAATTTATGCTGTGCCACCAAAATGTATGCATGTCAGAAATTGTACTTTGGCTAGGTGCAGTGGCTCACGCCTGTAATCCCGGCACTTTGGGAGGCCGAGGTGGGTGGATCACTTGAGGTCAGGAGTTTGAGACCAGCCTGACCAACAGGATGAAACCCCATCTCTACTAAAAATACAAAAATTAGCCAGGGTTGGTGGTGCACGCCTGTAGTCCCAGCTACTTGGAAGACCGAGGCAGGAGAATCGTTTGAACCCAGCAGAGGAGGATGCAGTGAGCCGAGGTTGTGCCACTGTACTCTAGCCTGGGCAACTGAGCAACACTCCATTTCAAAAAAAGAAAAAAGAAAAAAAAAAGAAAAGGCACCTGTAACCCAGAAACAACCACTGTTAATATTTCAGTGTTTATTCTTTCTCAAAGTCTTTTATTCTCTGCATATATTTTTATAAAATAGGGTAATACTATATGTACTGTTTGTAACATGGCTTTTCTTTAAACAGCTCTAAAAAAACATTTTTCTAAATAAATTAAAAATTGTCATTATATGTAGTGGGTATTCCATTGTGTGCAATGTGCTTAATCAATCTTCTATTGTTGCCAGGCAAGGTGGCTCACGACTGTAATCCTAGTAACTCGGGAGGCTGAGGTTGGAGGATCACTTGAGGCCCGGAGTCCAAGACCAGCCTCGGCAACCTAGCAAGACCCCATCTCTATGGCGCACACTTGCAGTTCCAGCTATTCTAGAGGCTGAGGCAAGGAGGATCACTTGAGCCCAGGAGTTCAAGACTGCAGTGAGCCATGATTGCGCCACTGTACTTCAACCTGAGTGATGAATTGAAACCCAGTCCAAAAAACTTTTTTTTTAAATCTCCTATTGTTGGTAATTTAGTTTGTGTCCAGTTTTAAAGTGTCTATCTTTTGATTTAACTATCCTACTTTTAGGACTATCTCCCACAAAAGTAAAACACTAGTTTCTTTTTTTTTTTTTTTTTTTTGAGACAAGGTTTCATTTCTGTTGCTCAGGCTGGAGTGCAGTGGCACGATCTCATCTCACTGCAACCTCTGCCTCCTGGACTCAAGCGATCCTCTCTCTCCTGCCTCAGCCTCTTGAGTAGCTGGGACTATAGGCGAATGCCATCATGCTCAGCTAATTTTAAGTATTTTTTTGTAGAGATGAGATTTCACCATGTTGCCCAAGCTGGTCTTGAACTCTGGACCACAAGCGATCCGCTGGCCTCGGCCTCCCAAAGTGCTGGGATTACAGCCTACTAGTTTATAATATTTACAGAGATGTTTATCACAATATTATTGATAATAGCAAAAATCACTAGAAACACCCTGGATGTCTACCAATATGGGGGCGGTTGAATAATCCATAGCATATTCTATACTATGAAATATTGAACTGCTATTAAGAGTGAGATGAAGTGAGATGAATCAATATTACTTGTCAAAATGATCATGATATGTGGCTAAGGGAAAATGTAGTTTACAAACTAATTGTGTAATGTGATTTTTGCTTTTTTGTTTTTACAGACTGGGTCTCACTCTGTCATCCAGGCTGGAGTGCAGTGGCGTGATCACGGCTCACTGCAGTCTTGACCTCCCGGGCTCACACAATCCTCCTGCCTCAGCCTCCTGAGTAGCTGGAGTCACCATGCCCAGCTAATTTTTAAAAATATTTTGTAGAGACAGAGTCTGCCTATGTTGCACAGGCTGGTCTCAAACTCCTGGCCTCAAGCAATCCTCTGACCACAGACTCCCAAAGTGCTGGGATTACAGATGTGAGCTGCCACGCCTAGCCTGATTTTTGCTTTTAATTAAAATTTTGTAAATGGAGGTGGGAATCCCTCTACGAATTTTTAATTTGTAACTATTCGTATCTTCCTAGGGAAAATAATAGGAAAAAAACTCACAAAACTGTTAATATTGCTCACCTCAGGAGATGGCATTGGAGATATTTGCTTAGTTACAAGAATATGTATGGATTTTGCAACTTGAATGACACAGTAAGAAAGAACACCATGCCCCAGTGCAGGATTGTGGCAGGAATTTGAATCTTTAATTCCTTCAGGCACCGGGCACAGATCGAGACCATCCTGGCTAACACGGTGAAACCCCGTCTCTACTAAAAATACAAAAAAATTAGCCAGGCATGGTGGCAGGTGCCTGTGGTCCCAGCTACTCAGGAGGCTGAGGCAGGAGAATGACGTGAACCCGGGAGGTGGAATTTGCAGTGAGCCGAGTTCGCACCACTGCACTCCAGCCTGGGCGACAGAGCAAGACTCCATCTCAAAAAAATAAAATAAAAAAATAAAATTCCTTCAGGGTGCTTGCAAAAGATAGAACAGTGCAATGAAAAAAATCAGACCCAGCAGCACTACTTATTACAACATGACCTTGAGTGAGTCATTCACCTCACTGGGCCTCAGTTTTCTTGTCTGTAAAATGGGACAATAGCAATCTCTACCTGTCAGAGTTTGTGTGCAGGCAGTCAGGAAATATAGTCAGTAGGCATTAAATTTTTTTCACACTGTTAATCCAGTTTATAAGTGATACCTTTTTTTTTTTTTTTTTTTTTTGAGATGGAGTTTTGCGCTTGTTGCCCAAGCTGGAGTGCAATGGCGCCATCTCGGCTCACTGCAATCTCCGCCTCCCGGGTTCAAGCGATTCTCCTGCCTCAGCCTCCTGAGTAGCTGGGATTACAGGCACACGCCACCACGCCCGGCTAATTTTTTGTATTTTTAGTAGAAATGGGGTTTCACCGTGTTAGCAGGCTGGTCTTGAACTCCTGACCTCAGGTGATCCGCCTGCGTCAGCCTCCCAAAGTGCTGGGATTACAAGCATGAGCCACTGCGCTAGGCCAGCGTGATACCATTTTTAAAAGTGTTAAGTGAAAAGGGTAAAGGATCTATTGAAGCCCCTTTGTAAGCATGTGAGTTCTGCTTGAGAAGCCACCCCCGGGTTAGCTCTTCTAAGCTGCTCATAGCTAATTCCCTTCCTTCATCTCCACTTCCCTTTGGGGTTTGGCGCAGTGATGATGGGGTTTCTGAAGATGAGGTAGGGCAGGGGTTACACAGTGACCACTGGGAAGTTGGGGACTGGCCGCCTCTGGAACTCCAAGGATTGATTTTCATGGTTAGCAAACAGCTGAGAGTTCTTTGGGAAGCTTCAATGGTGAAAATGCTATTTTTGGTAAGAGGGTAAGAATACAGCCCCTTCTTGTTTAGCCATGGTCGTGGAATCACGGTGGGGGCGTGCCTGGTGCATGGGCTCCTGAGAGGCAGGCCCCGTTGGGCTCACCCCCATTCCTGCTGCCATTCCCTCCATGGCCTCAGGGTGGCGCTGCTCCCTCTCCAACTGGGGCCATCTATTGCCACCATGCGGCTTCCCAGTGAAACCCGCTATTAATAAGAAGGAATGAAAAAAAAAAAAGAAAGAAACAAACCTGCCAGAACTTTCCAATCACACTGTCCTAAAAGCTGAGGACTAAGAAAACGAAGATAGATTCAGGGGACACCGTGAGTCAAAACTTTAGTTTGCCAGGTCTGACTTCTTTCCTGCAGCTCTTCGCCCTCTACCCAGTCCATCAGGGACCCCAGGACTAGGACTCCCTAGCTCCCCACTTACAAATTAAGCCCACCAACATTTGTGGGGCGCCAGGCAAGAGAACGAATGGAAGCTCACATACTCTATGTCTGCATATTTTCAAGTTGTTCAGTCAAGCTGATAAACCCTTAAATGAAGTATGCTCCATCCTTCCGCCTTGAGGTAGATACCTTCATAACCACCTAAAAGACCAGGTTGACTTTTAGGATTTTCAGCCTCCTTGGAGATCCATTCCCCTGGCTCTCCACTTCTGGCCCCAGGTCCACCCACCCACGCTCATCCTTTCAGATCGTGAGGAGCCTCACATACGTGTGGATACTCCAGCTCACACATCCAAGCTTCCTCCACACCCACACCCCTTACAACCCTGAAAACAGCTACCCCTTGGCCACTCCTAGTACCTAGCATGTGAACACAGGTAGTGAGGTCCACTCTTGGGAAGAGAGACCTAGAGAAAATGAAGATGCCCCGCAGGCACAGAAGAGGGCTTGCTGTAATTTGGACAGAAACTCTGGGGTCCTGGTACACGGAGCCTAGTCTTGGGTGGGTGTATGGACTCCCTTTGTAGAAAGGAACATGGCCCGAGGAGGTGCACAGCAGGAGCTTCTCCTGCTCTGGGCCCAGGGGATGGGGACAAGGAGAGATGACATCCTTAACTCCCTCCATCCCTCAGGAGTGCCCCTGGACATCGAGACTCCTGGAAATCTGGGTTGTGACAGGCCAAGTCCCTTCTTAATTCCTCTTTCCTGCTGTGGAGCCCCCTCATGTCCAATGATTGGCAGCAGGAAAGACCTCACTCTTCAGACAAGACCATAGTATCTGCCCTTGAAGCCTTTCTCTTTCAGCCCTCAACAATATCTCAATAAAAACAGCAATCCAACGTTGGACAGAAGCCTGCAGTAATGGGTGGTGGCGCAGAAGCCATCCTTTCAAGGGCACAGAGTGCCATTTCTCTCTCAAGGGATGGATAATTCCTGCCTTAATGCAACCTTCATCTGCCTAGTCACCAGCTGATGGGAAAGCAGCTCCAGCGAAAGATAAGGGCTCTTTGCCTGAAATGAAAAATTCATGAAGGAAGACTAGGAATGGGGCACGCAGAGAGCTGCCAAGTTGCTGTGCTCTGAGGACCTGACAAGAAGCTCAAAAAGCCAAATGGAAATTTTCTCTCCTCTCCAGCATCTCCCATCATGCCCTCTTCCATGTTTGGGGCTCTCTTCTCTGCTGTACCTGGTCACAGCTCTGCAGTCTCACCAATGCCCATATGCCAGGGGATCCAGGAAGAGGGGTACATCTGCCCACCCAGGCGAGCCACTTGACACCCACTCACATCCTCACAAAATGTTCGCTGTGGCTAGACAAGCTGGCATGGTTCTGACCACCTACCTGCCTAGACCAGACCTGGAGGAAATCCAAACTGGCTATTTATTTGTCCCTGGGAGACGCCTACAGATTACTTCCTGTTCCAATTTTCTGACCCACAGATCTGATCAAAATTCGTTAGGTTGATCATTGGTCACAACTCATAACTTGGGAAGGCAGCCCTGAATTTCTTGTCACAATGTTGGGCAGACAGTGGTATGGATGAAATGAAAGGGGAAAAAAACCTCTTGAACCATGAATTGGAGAATTTAACTCTCTCATAGGGATGGGCTTGAGAAGTACGACCGGCTACCCCATAATATACAGAATGGCACAGCAGTCGCAGGTGCCATTCCAGAGATGGTGGGTTCGAGGGCAGTAATTGATCCCCAGAAATTAGGTAGGAGGGCAGGCTGCCATCGCAGAGGAATCTGCCACCAAGGAAGTCCACCAGACTCTACTGTCAATGGGAAATGGGAAACTTGAGTCTCCTATTGCAGAGCCGCAGTTCCTTCTTCCTGCTGCAGGGTCCGTGGCCGAAGGAAAACCTCATTCCACTGTCCCCTGCCCAGGCCAGCTGTGGAACGCAGGTCCTCCATGAACTTGGGGGCCCCTCTTGGTCTCCCAGTGCATTGGCTCTTGGTTCCCAGGTCTTCCAGGCATTTATGCAGCCTTTTCCATTCAAAGCGGGAACTGGATTCAGACAGCAGTGTCTCATTGAAAAGCTTGTCCCTTCAACACCAGCCCCTAAGAACCACTCCAAGGCCTTTTTTTTTTTTTTTTTTTTTTTTGAGACAGAGTTTCGCTCTTGTTGCCCAGGCTGGAGTGCAATGGCGCGATCTCAGCTCACTGCAACGTCCATCTCCTAGGTACAAGCAATTCTCCTGTCTCAGCCTCCCAAGTAGCTCAGATTACAGGCACCCACAACCATGCCCGGCTAATTTTTTTGTATTTAGTAGAGACAGGGTTTCACCATATTAGTCAGGCTGCTCGTGAACTCCTGATCTCAGGTGATCCACCCACCTCGGCCTCCTAAAGTGCTGGGATTACAGGCATGCACCACCTCGCCCGGCCAGCCTTTTTAAAAAAAAACACTAACTCCTCCCAAAACAAAGAGTTTTTTCGCTCATTTTCTCCATACTAGAGCTTTACCATGAAGAACACAGATATAAAAACCTAAGGACTTATCTGCCCTCTGCCCCATCCCAGCACAAACAGGAAACTCATGCTACAACAAAAAGACAAAACATAGGTCACATTCTCAATGGGCCACCGTGATATACACAGAAGCCTAGCACTTAAGACTAAAGCCCCAAGTCCAGGTGTAATCTGTTTCTTCTTTTATGTGTAGGAAGTTGTTTGAAGCTTTTTCCTCCAGATTTTAAGTGATTTGTGTTCACTGTGGAACACTTGAAACGTATAAGAATAAAGACAAAGGGGGGAAGTGTCCATCATCTCACTACCCAGAAGCAAACTATTAATATTTTTTAAATATTTCTTTCCTAGTTTTGTCCTGTGCCTTTTTAAGTTTCATTTGAAATCAAGACTGTATATGCAATGTGGATCGAGAGTATTTTATACAGCCATTAAAAAAAAATAATGAAATCATGTCCTTTGCAGCAACAGGAATGCAGCTAGAGGCCATTATCCTAAATGAATTAATGAAGAAATAGAAAATCAAATACCACATGTTCTCAGTTATAAGTAGAGCTAAACAATGGGTACTCATGGACATAATGATGGAAACAGACACTGGGGACTCCAAAAATGGGGAGGGAGGGAAGGAGGGAGGGAAGGATTGAAAAACTACCTACTGGGGGCCGGGCATGGTGGCTCACGCCTTGTAATCCCAGCACTTTGGGAGGCCAAGGCAGGTGGATCACCTGAGGTCAGGAGTTTGAGACCAGCCTGGCCAACATGGTGAAACCCCATCTCTACTAAAAATACAAAAATTAGCCAGGCGTGGTGGCATGTGCCTGTAATCCCAGCTACTCGGGAGGCTGAGGCACGAGAATTGCTTGAACCCGGGAGGTAGATGTTGCAGTGAGCTGAGATCACACCATTGCACTCCAGCCTAAGCAACAAGAGCAAAATTCCATCTCGGAAAAAAAAAGAAAAAGAAAAACTACCTACTGGGTACAATGTTCACTATTTGGGTGATGGGTTCAATAGAAGCTCAAACTCCAGCATTATACAATATAACTCATGTAATAAACCCGCACATATACCTCCTGAATCTAAACAATTCAAAACAGATCTGTATTTTTTTTTTCTGAGACAAGGTCTCACTTTATCACCCAGACTGGAGTGCAGTGGCACAATCTCAGCTCGCTGCAGCCTCAACTTCCCAAGTTCAAGCCATCCTCCCACCTCAGCCTCTCCAGTAGCTGGGACTACAGGTGTGCACCACCACACCTGGCTAATTTTTGTATTTTTCTGTAGAAACGGGGTTTTGCCATGTTGCCCAGGCTGGTCTTGAACTCCTGGGCTTAAGCAGTCTGCCTGCCTCAGCCTCCCAAAGTGCTAGGATTACAGATGTGAGCTACGGTGCCTGGCCCAAAAAAGATAATTTCAAAAAGAGTATTTTCCCAGGGCAAACATATTAATAGCTGCCTAACTATTCATAATATGCCTGTGCCATAGTTTGCATGATCAGGAGGCTGAAGCTACACCAGTCAGAAGTGACTGAGCTTGCAGTGAGGGAACAGTAGGCCAGGCTTCAAGGAACTGGAGCAGGCAGAGCAATAAGGTTTAAGCTCACGGCTACCACCAAAGCCTGAGGTTATTTCAAAAATAGGAATGCTGGAAGATACAGCACACAGATGGAAAGAAATCTTTTGAACCTGAAGGCTGAAAGGAAAGCTGGCTAGGGTCCTGAGGCTATGCTGATATCCAGGAAAAAGCAGAGTGTGTGAAGAAGGGTGTTAAAGGCCCCAAGTTTGCTGTTTGTCAGGAATATAAAGGTTGTTCGGGCATTCGGGCAGAATGTACCCTACAGGTAAGACTGGAGGAAGTTATGGAATTGATTTTCGTTTGTTTTTGTGTGGGGGGGTGGGTTTTTGTTTTGTTTTTTGTTTTTGTTTTTTGAGACAGGGTCTCACTGTGTCGCCCAGCCTGTAGTGCAGTGGTGTGATCTTGGCTCACGGTAGCCTTGATCTCCCGGGCTCAAGAAGGGAGTATTAACTCCACTTCAGCCTCCTGAGTAGCTGGGAGTAGAGGCACACAACACCACACCTAAGTTTTGTAATTTTTGTAGAGACAGGGTTTCACCACGTTGCCCAGGCTTGTCTTGAACTCCTGGGCTCAAGCGATTCACCTGCCTCGGCCTCCCAAAGTACTAGGATTACAGGCGTGAGCCACCGCACCCAGTTGGAATTGATTTTTTAAAAATACATTTAGGAAGGCCAGGGGTTGGGGAGTGGTTCTAAGACTAGCAATAAAAGAATAGGAGCAGTTTCAGAAGCTGTTCGATTATCACATGAGCATGAGAATGTCAAAGAAGAGACGCTAAAGCCGGCCTGTCTCACCTTATTGATTTCCGGTGCTTACTGAATGCATTACTTTTATTGGAGAATAACTTCCTTTTCATTTTCTTTTATCTTGCTCATTTGAGTATGTCAGGTCTGTTTAATCAGTCACAATTGCTGCTGCTTTTTTTTTTTTTTTTTTCAGACAGAGTCTCACTCTGTCACCCAGTCTGGAATGCAGTGGCATGATCTCAGCTCACTGCAACCTCCACCTCCTGGGTTCAGGTGACTCTCGTGCCTCAGCCATCCAAGTAGCTAGGACTACAGGCGCACGCCACCATGCCCGGCTAATTTTTGTATTTTTAGTAGAGATGGGGTTTTACCATGTTGGCCAGGCTGGTCTTGAACTGCTGGCCTCAAGTGATCCCCCTGCCTCAGCCTCCTAAAGTGTTGGGATTACAGGTGTGAGCCACTACGCCCGGCCAAAAATTGCTGCTTCTTGATAGAGTATGGAATTCCTTTCTTTTGAGGTCAGGTTTATTTTTTCTTATTACATATGAAAAATTTGCTCATAACCAAAACTCCTAGAATATAGAAAAGCATGAAGTATAAGGAAGTAAATAAAAATCACCAGTAATCTGACTACCAAAAGATAACCACTGCTGACATATTAATATAAGTCCTGCCAGACTCTTTTCCTATATATGCGTTCTCAACTAATCTCTGCCTCTCTCTCTCTCTCTCACACATGCACACACACACAGACACACACACACACATCACATCACACATATAAACACAAAGAGAAAGGGGAGTATTCATACTATACATACAGTTTTTTTATTGTTGTAAAACATAAATAACAAAATTTACCATTTTAAGCATGTTTAGGTGTACAGTCCTATAGCACTAAGTACATTCACATTGTTATACATCTATCACCACGATTCACTTCCAGAACTTTTTCATCTTCTCCAACTGAAACTCTGTACCCATCAAGTCAGTGGTCCCCAACATTTTTGGCACCAGACTGGTTTCATGGAAGACAATTTTTCCACGGACAGGGTGGGTAGCGGGGATGTTTTCAGCATGAAACTGTTCCACCTCTGAAACCACCTTCTGCTGTGCAGCTGTGCAGCTGTGCAGCCTGGTTCTTAACAGGCCACGGACAGGTGCCAGTCCATGGCCCAGGGGTTGAGGACCCCTGCATTAAATAAGAACCCCCATTACCCCTCCCCCAAGCCCCTGACAACCACCATTCTGCTTTTTGTCCCTGCATAATTTGGTGACTTTAGGTATCTCATCTGAGTAGAATCATACAGTATTTGCCCTCTTGTGTCTGGCTTATTTAGCATAATGCCTTTAAGCTTCATCCATGTTATAGCATGTGTCAGAATTTCCTTTCTTTGTATGTATTTATATATAACATTGTGTCCTTTTTTTTTTTTTTTTTTTACACGGAGTCTCATTCTGTTGCCCAGGCTGGAGTGCAGTGGTGCGATCTCTGCTCACTGCAACCTCTGCCTCCCGGGTTTAAGCGATTCTCCTGCCTCAGCCTCCTGAGTAGCTGGGACTACAGACATGTGCTACCACGCCCGGCTAATTTTTTGTATTTTTTGTATTTTTAGTAGAGACGGGGTTTCACCGTGTTAGCCAGGATGGTCTCGATCTCCTGACCTTGTGATCCGCCCACCTCGGCCTCCCAAAGTGCTGGGATTACAGGAGTGAGCTATCGCGCCCGGCCAACATTGTGTTCTTATATTTATCTGTTGATGGACACTTGGTACAAATAGTTCTTTAGGCTGCTTTTTCCACTTAATATATTCTAGACATCATTTCATGTCAACAAAGTAAAATTAAATTATTATTTTTAATGACTATTTGGTATATTGCTCAACAGATATTTTATAAGTTATTTAACTAGATTGCTAACAATGAACACTTGATTATTTACAGTTTTTTTGCTTAATAGACTTTTCAGTGATGAACAATCTTTCCAATTTGTATTGAGAAACATATCACACAGGAGAGCATATAATGTATATGTTAAGCTTCAAGAATGCTAACAAAATGAACAGTCTGTATCCTACTCCCAGCTGAAGAAATAGAGTATTCTCAGAACCTCAGAAGCACCTGCAGGCCCTGCCCCATCTCATTGCCCTCTCATCCCCCGAGAGGGATCACTATTCTGATTTTTGTGTTAACCATTCCCATGCTTTTCTCTGTAATTTTATCATATGAGTATGTACATTCCTCCCCAAAAATATACAGCCTAAATGTAAGTCTACTGGATAAAAGAAAAAACATGGGTGCTATGGGCATCTTGGATCCTGGCCTTCCTTTCCAGACTCAATGCATCCAGTTATTTCCAGCTCAGAGAGCCCCTCCTCCATCATTGGTGTGATTCTCCACCTCCTCCTTCAAGGAAATCCTCCTTCCTACTAGGTTGTTATCAGTTTAGAATACCCCTCCACCTCTGCCTCTACTCCCATCCACCCGTTATGGCAAACTCATTTAGAATCATTGTCCATAGCACATTTTCCAGAAATGTTAATTAAGGGTGTAGAATAACACCATATTAGGAGGCTTCAACAGAATTGTCCAGGGCAGACTTGGGCATCCCCAGTCTCACCACTTGGGAGGTCCTGACCTCTGGTGTATGATATGCCTCCTCTTCCTCCTGAGGGCCTCTTGTTTCTTTTCCTGACAGTCTGTAGCTTACTCTTGGGTAAAATTAATGCCAAACACTCCCTTCCTAAGAACAAACAATGATCTTAGACATTACATTGTTTTAATGCACATGAAGGAGGCATTTCACTAAATGCAGCATAATTGACTAATATCCCTTGTATTTCAAATGAATATAGGCTTTTCCACAATTTTCCAGAGAAGTTTTAGCTTCCCCACTTTGCCTCACCCTCCTTATGTCTATACAGACTCTAGCTTTGGTTATCTTCAAGCATGTGCTAACTCTTTCCTTCCAGAAGCCCCCCATGATATAGAAATAACAGCACTCTGCTTGCTTCTGTCCTAATGCAGGATCCCAGGGAAAAGGAAGACTTCCTTGGTAATTGCAGAGAATGGAATCTGAGGCTAGTATACTGGTATTATCTACCATTTACATAATACCTGCTATGTTCCTGGCACTTTACATACATTATCTGAAGAGTACATTTTATTACTTTTGCACATAAGGAAACTCGGGTTCAATCATGCATCCAAAGACATTAACGAGTGAATGATTGATTCAGAGTTTGGACCAGGTGTGTGCATCACTAAAATGTTTGTGTTTGTGACCATTCCTCTATATCCTCTCTTTGGAAAGAGAAAGCTATGCAATATTTAGGATTTTTTCCCTGAGTTTCCTAGATCTGCTGTAACAAAGTACCACAAACCTGGGGGCTTAAAACAACGGAAATTTGTTCTCTCACAGTTCTGGAGGCTAGAAGTTCAAAATCATGGTTCCTTCTGAGGGGTATGAAGGAGGATCCCTTTCTTGCCTCTCTCCTCTCTTCAGGTAGTTGCTGGCAATCCTTAGTGGTATTGGTTTGTAGATGCATCATTCCAGCATCTGCACTTGGCCCTCTTCCCTGTGTATCTCTCCGTATTCAAATCTCCTCCTCCTTTCTCTTATAAAGATACCAGTCTTTGGCCTTAGGGCCTACCTTAATCCAGTATGACCTCATCTTAACTTGATTACATCTGCAAAAGACCCTATTTCCAAATAAGGTCACATTCACAGATACCAGGGGTTAGGACTTGAACATATATTTTGGGGGGACACAATTCAACCCAATACCTTGGGCATCCTTGTCACCAAGGCATTCTCCTATCATATTTCCTTCCCAAGGCCTGGAGGAACATGGCTGCCTGCTCACACAAGTAAATAGGAGGTGCTGGAGGTCTTAAGCCACAGCAGGAGGGCTGGGCAGAAACCTGTGCTCAGCAAGATACCTTTTCAGTGAAGGGTACCTGTTGCGGCAGGCCAAGAGAGCCACGGGCCAGCCAAGAGGCCAAGTCAAGCTGTAGTGAAACAGTTCCCTTTGGTGTCTGCAGCTGAGTGCCTGATTGCACAGTGGCATGGCACAGCTGTGTTAGTCGTCCTTTCTCCAGATGCCATGAAGTCTGGAAAATGTGTCTGGATACTTGTGAGGTCACCATACTTAGGGAGTTTGGACTCTGAATAAACAAGCGGCAGAAAGTCTTGAGATTCACAGCTCTTTCTGCTCCAGATTCTATACAGTTGAGGAAGGAGATGTGAATTGATGGTGGGGCCCCATGTTGGGGTGATCAGACCCAACACCAGGCCATGGGGGCTACGAAGTCCAGTGGAGTTAAAGGAATGAGACAAGACAAGAGTGCATAAAGTGGGATCAGGGGGCCAATGCTAGTATGGAGGCTGCTAAGGCCCGGAGCTCTGGAAGCCCACACTATTTATTGGTGATCAAACAAAGAAGCAGGTGGTGAGGATGTGGGGGTTGAAAGAAAGCAGTGTATCAAGCACATGATCTACAACTGTGACAGTTTAGCATTTTCTTTGAAGCATATGGAACATGTTCTGCTACTTGAGATAATGGGAAACATGTTCTTCTAGTTTAAGTTACAATCGATCTAATAGCCTGGGAGTGCTAGAAGCAAGAAGCCAGCAAGTCTAGACACATTCCAGAGGCCACAAGGAGTTTTAAGCCCTGAGCCCTGGATTCTGTCCAAGCCACAAGGGGTTTTATGCCCTGGGCTTAGATTGTGGTGTGGCAGGGCAGGTTTCCACCCTTTGGCACAGAGCTTGGTGTTCCAAAGGCCATGAGGGGTTTTAGACCCTGGACCCCAGGCATGTTCCAAGACTGTTTTACATTATGTCAGCCATGCAAGCCCTGCCTCAGCCTTTTTCCCAATACTCAGCTTTTCTCGAACACCCCAGATGTCTTCTGTGAGACCTGGCTGGAGTTCTACAGCACCTCCTGCCTGCTACTATCCTAACACTCTGTGGAGCAAACTCTATTCACTTGTTCTCCATCTTTTCCTTCTGGGCTCTGAGAGTCCAAACCTTGAGGTAGGTACCATGACACATTGGGGTCTCCACTCACAGCCTGATGCCTGTAGATGATCAGCCACTGTGTAATGAATGAACTCATTCTTCAATAAACCAGTGAATGATCACATGAAAGAAACGGTCTAGTGGGACTCTCTGGCCACAAATACTGAATCACCTTCCTCTTCTTTACCATAGAAGAAGGGAGAATTTCTTTCTCAAAGACCAAACCCTAGACTTCATAGTCTTTTTCTGTTTTTCTCCCCTACAGGACTTCTACCCCTCAGGGTCTCCCACAGAGCATTCTGTGGGCAACTAACCATCTAATGTTATTTTTATAGGGCCCAAGGGAGAAATTCTTATACATACACACATGTGCGCGTGCACACACACACACACACACACACACAAACTCTGTGTGTGTGCATGTATAAATGATTTCAGTTATGTACTGCTACATAACAAACCACCCCTAATGTAAGTAGCACAAAACAACCATTTTATTTTGCATACAGAGTCTTTGAGTCAGGAAATTAGACAGCAACTAGCAGGGGTGGCTAGCCTCTGCTCCCTGGTGTCTGAGACCTCAGCTGGAAAGACTTGAAAGCTGAGAATGACTCAACAATTGGGGGCTAGAGTCATCCGGAGGCGTCTTCACCCACATGTCTGGTGGTTTGGCTGGAACCTCAGCTGGGCTTTCAGCCCAAACACCTACACGTGGTCCCTCCATGTGTTCTCTCCACACGGGCTAGCTGGGCTTCATCAGACTAGCTGGTAACTGGGGTCCAAGGGAAGGTGTCCCGAGAAAGCAAAGCACAAGTGCATGGCATTTTTATGACCTGGCCTCAGAAGTCACAGAGCACCATATGGCATCATATGATATTGGTCAAGGTTACAGAGTTTTCCCAGGTTCAAGGCATGAGGAAGTGGGCAAGCTTCCTCTTTTTTTTTTTTTTTTTTTTTTTTTTTTTGTCAAGAGGGAGTCTCTCTCTGTTGCCCAGGCTGGAGTGCAGTGACTAGATCTTAGCTCACTGCAACCTCCACCTCCCGGGTTCAAGTGATTCTCCTGCCTCAGCCTCCTGAGTAGCTGGGACTACAGGCGCATGCCACCACACCCTGCTAATTTTTGTATTTTTAGTAGAAATGGGGTTTCACCATATTGGCCAGGCTGGTCTTGAACTCCTGACCTTGTGATCCACTCACCTCAGCCTCCCAAAGGCAAGCTTCTAGAACAGCACATGGACAGAAGATATTGGTATGTCACTTGGAAAACAGTCTGGCAAGCTCTTTTTTTCTTTTCTTTTCTTTTCTTTTTTTTTTTTTTTTTTAAAGAGATAGGATCTCTCTCTGTTGCCCAGGCTGGAGCACAGTGGCACAATCATAGCTCACTGCAGCCTCAAACTCCTGGGCTCACAAGCAATCCTCCTGTCTCAGTCTCTAGAGCAACTGGAACTATAGGCATGCACAACCACGCCTGGCTAATTAAGTAAATTTTTTTAAAGATGAGGTCTCACTATTTTTCCAAGGCTGGCCTCAAACTCCTGGCCTCAAATGATTCTCCCACTTCAGCCTTCCAAGTAACTGGGATTACAGGCATAATCTTTTTCTTTAAGTTGTAAAATTCACACACAAGACAGTAAATATAATTTAGTAGTTTAGAACTCTCCAATTGTGTTTCTCTGACCCTCGATCGAAAGTAACCACCCTTGTGAGTTTTGTGTTACTCATGTTCTTGCTTTCTTTATAATTTTGCCACTCCAGGTTTTTTCCTAAATAATATATTGTTTAGTTTTGCCTGCTTGCAAACTTTGTAAAAATGGAATCACACAGAAGCATTCTCCTGTCATCTTGTTCATTTACTCTTTTTTTTTTTTTTTTTTTTTTTGAGATGGAATCTTGCTCTGTCACCCAGGCTGGAGTGCAGTGGCATGATCTCAGCTTACTGCAACCTCTGCCTCCCAGGTTCAAGTGATTCTCCTGCCTCAGCCTCCCAAGTAGCTGGGATTACAGGTGCGTACCACCATGCATGGCTAATTTTTGTATTTTTAGTAGAGACAGGGTTTCACCATGTTGGCCAGGTTAGTCTTGAACTCCTGGCCTCAAGTGATCCACCTGCCTCGACCTCCCAAAGTGCTGGGATTATAGGCATGAGCCACCATGCCCTGCTATTTACTCTTGTATCATGAAGAAAGGGTAGGCTTGGTTGTGTTGTGGTAACAAACATCACCAAAATCTCAGTGGCTTATAACTCCAGTTATTTCTCACTTATACTATACAGATGTTGTGGATTGGCTGTAACTCTGCTCTGGGATCCAGGCTGAAGGAGCAGGCTCTATCTGGAACATTACTAGTCTCCAGGCAGAAGAAAAAGAGACAATGGTGAGCCATGTGATTTTTCTTCAAACTCCTCCTCAGAAGTGACATGTGTTCATTCTGCTCCCATTCTATTGGCCAAAGCAAGTCACATGGCTAAGCCTAAGTTCAGTGGGTTACAAATATAATCCCTATGTAGAAAGCGACCTGGAAGGAACACTCCTAGAGGGGCAACAGATATTTTGAAATAGTATCACAAGCTACCGTAGTATCCCTCCTTGTCACAATTATTTGCATCCCTAATACAAGCATCAGACATTAAGTCCAAGATCTCATGGTAGTTCCTACATTGGGTCTGGATGTGGTTTCCTCTTGGTCTGGAGATGCGGAACTAAGAAGTCTAGTTATCAGCCCTCCACATACCCCATGGGCCAAAGAAGAACAGGGATGGGGTAATCTCAATAAACACTCAGCAGATCTGGGGGAAGGCCTGAGGTTCTGCATTTCTAACATTATTTAGAAAGGAAAGAATGAGAGACATGATATTGGTCAAGGTTACACAGTGTTTACAGGTTCAAGGCATGAGGGAGTGGGCAAGCCTCTAGAATAGCATGTGGACAGCAGATATGGGTAATCATTGATCTATGGACATCTTGAAATTCCACTGGGCTGACATCATAAGGGGCCCCCTATCCTGGGGATAGGGAATATTTCTAGATTAGGTCTTAGTCCTGCCCCTGGAGGAAGGGGGTTCCTCATGCCATTCTCTTTCATGGCCTTTGGCTCTGCCGTCCGGAAGGGCCTTCCTTTTCTATTTTCCTCCTAATGAAGGCGTGTGCCTTCCTGAAGTGTGCCCCCCGCTTGCTCTCTGTGGTAGACTGCATTATTAAATACTCATTGCTCCTCTCCATGGGTCTGTTTTGCTGAACCCTAATTAACCTCAGTAGGGAAGGCACCAGGTTCAAGAGGTCAAAGAAGAGACCCAAAGGTAGCAAATAAGACATGGGGTTTTGGCCGGGCACGGTGGCTCACACCTGTGATCCCAGCACTTTGGGAGGCCAAGGCGAGTGGATCACCTGAGGTCAGGAGTTCAAGACCAGCCTGGCCAACATGGTGAAACCCCATCTCTACTAAAAATATAAAAAATTAGCTGGGCATGGTGTCAAGCGCCTATAATCCCAGCTACTTGGGAGGCTGAGGCAGGAGAACCGCTTGAACCCGGGAGGTGGAGGTTGCAGTGAGCCAAGATTGTGCCTTTGCATTCCAGCCTGGGCAACAAGAGCAAAACCCCGTCTCAAAAGAAAAAAAAAGACATAGGGTTTTATTTGGGGCTTACATACAGGGGAGAGTCTCCAGCAGTGGCAGACTGGACAGGAAAAACGCAACCACTTGCAAACAGCATGCAGTTTATACAGTATTTTCACTTAAAACCCTCCCCTTAACAACCTTCACCTGGTAACCTGCATTTAACCTAAAACAAATGGCCTCCATCCCTTATACGGCCCACATTCCACCAGACAGGAAGGGAGTGGGGTGGAGCTCACATGTTCCTCATAGACAGGAAGGAATCTCTGGGTTGGCCACTCCCAGATTCCCTAGCTCAGAGCACACACTCAGGTGCGTCTGCCATACAGGGTCATTCTAAGGGTATGCTTAAGTTATTGCTATTGGGTATGTTTATCCTACAGGGTCCCTCAATACTGGACGATTATAATGCTCACTCCCTGATGACAAACTTGGTCATATGACTTTTTTGGCCAATGGAAGTGGTGCATGCCACTTTCGGGTAGAAGCTTTATTGTAGGGTGACCAACCTCAGTTACCTGAAGACGAAGACTATTCTGGTTTTAACACTAAAGTGTTGTGTCCCAGGAAACCCCCAGTCCTGGGCAAACTGGGATAGCTGGTCACCCAAGCTGTAAGAGTCATGTCACACTTTTATTTTTTTCCTTTTTGAGGAGAACAAAAATGTCTCCGTTAGAAACCTCCTATGAGCCTTGGTCACAGAATGAGGAGGAAGATAGCTGACCTCGATGGATATGTAATGCAAATAAGAAACAAATGTTTGGGCCAGGTGCAGTGGCTCATGCCTGTAATCCCAGAACTCTGGGAGACCGAGGCAGGTGCATCACTTGAGGTCAGGATTTTGAGACCAGCCTGACCAACATGGCGAAACCCTGTCTCTACTAAAAATACAAAAATTAGCCAGGCATGGTGGTGGGGGCCTGTAGTCCCAGCTACTCGGGAGTCTGAGGCACAAGAATCACTTGAACCCAGGAGGCAGAAGTTGCAGTTAGCTGAGATTGTGCCACTGCTCTCCAGCCTGGGTGACAGAGCAAGACTCGGTCTCAAAAGAGGAAAGGAGGGGAAGGAGAAGGGGAAGGGGAAGGATGAGCAGGAGGGGGAGGGGAAGGGGAAGGATGAGCAGGAGGGGGAGAGGAAGGGGAAGGGGAGGGAAGAAAAGGAGAGGGGAGGGGAGGGAAGGGAAAGTTAAGTTTGGGGTTTATTTAGCCACTGAGTTGAGAAGGTCATTTGTTACTGCAGGATAACTTAGCCTAAGCTGACTGAGGCAGCTCTACATGATATCTTTGGTATTCACCCATTCATCCATTTCTTATTGATGTCTGACAAGTTCTGCCTCTTCTTGCCCTCAATATGGTTATGCCAAGCTTCTCCTTGGAACTTCAGTACTTTTGTGAGTAGAGCTGCCAAGTAAAATACAAAATGCTCAGCTAAATTTGAAATTCAGATAAACAATACATAATTTTAGAAACTTTTCCTAAATTTAAATTGATCATATTAATAAAATTTAATTTTTAACTAGTAAGTTTGCTAAACCTGTTTTCACTACTTAAAATAATTTTATAAGTATAGCCCACACAATATTTGAGACATACTTATACTAAAAAAGTATTTGCTCTTTATCTGAAATTCAAATTTAACTAGGCATTCTGTATTTTCATTTGCTAAATCTAGCAAGCCTAGTTGTGAGGAAAGCACTTTTTGAGGGGCCTGGGACAAAGAATATACTCAGAAAATTCCCACTTCTACAGAGAGCAGCATTGTGGAGCAATGCTAAACTTAATCTATCATCAGATTTATGGGGAGCTTTAAAAAAGGGACCTAGGTGTGAGCTCAGACCTGATTAGCTAGAAACTTGTGTGGAATATCTGGGGAATCTGTAGTTTTTGAGACAGTCTTGCTCTGTTGCCCAGGCTGGAGTGCAGTGGTACGATCTTGGCTCACTGCAACTTCCGCCTCCTAGGTTCAAGCGATTCTCCTGCCTCAGCCTCCCAAGTAGCTAGGATTACAGGTGCCCACGACCATGCCTGGTAATTTTTTTGTATTTTTAGTAGAGACAGAATGTCACAATGTTGGCCAGGCTGGTCTCGAACTCCTGACCTCAGGTGATCCACCCTCCTCGGCCTCCCAAAGTGCTGGGATTACAGGGAATCTGTAGTTTTCTTTTAAAAAGTGTGTTAATTCTGATCATTGGCCAGGTTTGGAAACTAGTGGCCTCACGCACTACTTCTCAAACTCTAACCATGCGAAGCATCTCGGGATCTTGCCAAACACAAATTCTGATTCAGCAGGTCTTGGGGGACCTGAGGTTCTGCATTTCTAATATCATGATATCGATCCTACACATCTGTGGATCACACTGAGTAGCAAGATTTCAGAGCGGTGGGTCTCAAACTTGAACCACCTGGAGGGCTTATTAAACCGCATTGCTGGCCCCACCCCAGCGTTTTTTACTTAGTAGATTAGAACTACTCTTTTTGTTAGAAAAGCTCCCAGGTGTTTCCGATGCTGCTGCTGTGGGACCCACACTCAGAATCACAGTGCTAGGAGAAAGAGAAAGGGCTTTGGGATTGGCGGACCTGAATTAAATTCCATCCCAGCAAGCGGGTCACCTCTGACAGATTTCTTACATTGGTTCTCCACTCTGTACATAAGAGTCACCTGGGCCGGGCATGGTGGCTCACGCCTGTAATCCCAGCACTTTGGGAGGCCGAGGTAGGTGGATCACCTAAGGTCAAGAGTTCAAGACCAGCCTGACCAACATGGGGAAACCCAGTCTCTACTAAAAATACACAAAAATTATCAGGGCGTGATGGCGTGCTCCTGTAATCCCAGCTACTCCGGAGGCTGAGGCAGAAGAATGGCTTGAACCCGGGCGGTGGAGGTTGCAGTGAGCAGAGATCATGACACTGCATCCAGCCTGGGGGGCAAGAGCGAAACTCCATCTGAAAAAAAAAAAAAGAGTCACCTGAAGATCTTAAACAATTCTGATGCCAGTGTTCTTTCCCAGATCAAATTAAATCAGGAAAGCTGGGAGTGAGACCCAGATGCACTGTTTTAACAAATTCCTCAGGGGATTCTAATGTGTCACCAGGTGGAAAACCACTGAAACACTGAGCCATTCTCCTTATCTGAAAATGAAGACTGAGGATTAAGTGTAATGGAAATGAAAGAGTCTGGCATAAGGCAGGCACCCGAAGTGGCTGCTATGACTCCTCCACTTTCTAGCCTTCCCTTCCATCTTAGAGGAAGAGCTGCCCCCAGGCCTGTATGAGGTTCACCTGTCTCCAACCCCTCCCCAACAAAGAAAAGAACCTAGCTTGCTTTGTCATTTTCTTCTGGAACATTGCCTCTCACCAGCGTCTCAAGTCTACTTCCACTAGCTCTTCCCTATCTGTCTTTTAAAATATGCTGAACTCCGCCATCACTCAATCTTGCTGTCATCCTGTTTCCTGCCTCATATCACTGATAACATTTCTCAAGCAAGTGGCCTACAGCGGTACCAATTCCTGGCTTCTCCTTAACCCTCAGGAGAAAAAGCCTCATTCCCTTCACCCCCAACCCTAAACTTTAGTACAGAGACACCCAAAGTTTATCAAAAGTGTTTGAATGGCCAAACCCAGAGGCCTTTTCTCGGTAATTCTTCTCTTTCAATTCAATTGAACAAGCGTGTTTTAGTGCCTACTATCACTTGGGTACAAAGAGGAATAAGTCACCCTCCTTGGCCTCAAGGGGTAGGGCTTGGGAGCAGCTATCATGTAAGTAAGGCAATACCTGAGATAGGAACTGTGAGGTAAAGTGTGAATGATGTGGGTTCTGGCCCCCAGCACTCAGCCTTATCATAGGTCTTTGCATCTACATCTATTAGGAATGGATGATTGAATGGATGAATGAACTCCACAGGAAGATGAGGAAAGCCTTTATGGATGGAGTGAGCTTGCAGCAGAGTCTCAAAGGGTGAGTAGAGTTTTCCAGGTAGGGAAGTGTGTGGGTGAGTAGTCCAGATCGAGTCAAAGGTATGGGAGCAAGGAACGGCCTGGTGCATTCCAGAAGTGTTGATAATGTCACTGGCTGACTCGGAGGGTGTGAAGGGGAGGAGAAGGAGGGAAGGCTAGAGAGGGAAGGTAGAAAGGAAGTGGAGGCGAAAAAAGATGCTGAAGGGCCTCCTGTACCTCCAGGAAGAGTTTGAATGTTATCATTTGGGCAATGGGAAGCTATTCCTGGGTCTTCACAAGGGAATCAGTTGGTGAGAACTGCTGTTTAGAAAGACAGCCCTGGCAGCAACTCAAGCGCTGGGAGAGGACAGAACCACCAGGGAAGAGGGTATGGGGAAGAAGAGCAGCAGGCTGAGGACAGGCCCAGGACTGAAGAATCAGGCACAGGAAGAAGAGTCCATGGGGCAGGCTGTGAAATGGACAAAGGAAAACCAGAGGTGCTTCCCAAGCAGGGGGCCTGGCCACCAGAGTCCCAAGCTACCAAGATGTCAAGTAAAGAAGAACTGAAAGCCAACTGCTGGATGCAGCAGTGAGTGGGGGTCACAGTGGCCTTTGCCAGAACTGTTCCAGTGGAGGAGTAGAGGAAGAGAGAAAACCACAGGAGCAGGCATCGCAAGCTCATGCTCCACCCACACGTCCCCTTTCTCCTTTAGTCCTGTGACCCATGTGCTTGCTCTCTTTCTCTCTCAAAGGAGATCCAAATTTAAAAATATGGAGCCAAGGGAATCAGTTCCTTTGCGAACACACTGAACGTTAGTTTTCTTCTTCTCTTTTGCAAAAACTTCTTATTTCACAAAATACTCAAACAAATAGACAAAGTACAGTGAAGTCCAGGTAGATATCATCCACCTTCAGCAATGATCAATCCATGGCCAATCTTTCATCTCAACACTCGTATCCTCATTCTTGTGGAGCAAATGCCAGACATTCTTTCATCCATCAGTATGTCAATATGTATCTCTGAAATAGAAGGACTTTTTATAAAACATAATCATAATATAATTAATATTCATTCCCCAATTGTTTTGTTATTGTCTTTTACAGTTTAATTTTTGTTTTGTTTTGTTTCGTTTCTTTTTGAGACAGGATCTTGCTCTGTTACCCAGGCTGGAGTGCAGTGGTGCGATCATGACCCATTGCAGCCTCTACCTCCTGGGCTCAGGTGATCTTCCCACCTCAGCCTCCCAAGTAGCTGGGACTACAGGTGCATGCCACCATGTCCAGCTACTTTTTTGTATTTTTGTAGAGATGAGGTCTCACCATGTTGCCCAGGCCAGTCTCAAACTCCTGGGCTCAAGTGATCCACTTGCCCCAGCCTTCCAAAGTGCTAGGATTACAGGCATGATCCATAATACCCAGCTACGGTTTGTTTTCATTTGGATGCTAATAAGACCCATACATTCCATTTGGTTGATCTATCTCTTCAATTTCTTTTAAATTTATAATTTTATAAGGTCCCCTTCCACATTTTTCTTTGTGGAAGAGGAGAAAAGACCCTTGTTCTCTGGATCACTCTGTGGTTAAGGGGGTAGGTCCTCAAATCAGATGCCCTGGTTCTATTTTGCTTTCTTGTTTTTTAGTACTTTTTGTTTGTTACCTACACACAGAAAAGTACATGAATCATAAGTGAGCAGCTTGATGAATTTTCATAAGTGAACACACCTGTGTAACCACCACCCAGCTCAGGAACAGGGCATCACTGGCACCCAAGAACCCCCTCTCAGGCCCTTTCCCAGTCTCTACCACCTCACAAAGGTCAGGTGACTTTTTCACACCACAGCCATGTGTTACCTCTTTTTGAACTTTATATAAATAAAATCATAGCATACATTTCTTGGATGACTGGCTTCTTTCACTCACCTTTATGCTGGTGGCATGCTTATCGTAATGATTTGTTCATTCCCAATGCTGCATAGTATTCCATTGAATATGAATGTTCTACAATCTGTTTATCCATTCTAGTGTTGATGGACATTTGGACAGTTTACAATCTTAAGCTATTACGAATGGTGCTATTGTGAATGTTATTGTCCGTGTGTTTCTTTGGGTACATACTTAAGAATGAGAATTATGCATGCTCATGTTGCCAAGGTTTTAATTTTGGGTTTACTTAATATCACTTTTGTGACCTCAAGCACATTATTTTACCTCTCTGGCCTCAGTTTCTTAATCTGTAAAACAGGCATAATCATATTCACCCTGTGGAGTTATTGGGAGGATTAAATATTTAAAAAAATCTAAAACTCTTAGAATCGTGCTTGTCTCTTAGTAAGGGTTTTATAAATGTTAGCTGTCAACCCTTCCTCCCTTTGTGGTGGTAACTTCTCAAGCTCCTTCACTGTTTTTCTCCTCCTGCCAAGTTTCATTCTCCCAAGTTCAAGTTAACCTGGTCTGCTTTTCTTTCTCTCTGAAACTTGTCTATGCCTATGACTTCCATTATCTTGTACTGTGGACAGCTTTTGCAACGTGTTACCTAGAAACTATGACTCCAAATCCCCTTGTCTACAAAACTCAGCCTCTCCCCTGCTTACCAATGCTCCCTTTCTAGTAATGATGTCATATTTTCCCTTTCCCTTGAATATATGTGTCACCAAAATCTCAACAGATCTAAAGTAAATTTACCTTTCTCTCCCATATTAGAACCACCTTGGGATCATCTCTGACCCTTCTCTCTTTCTTGCACCCCATATTTAATCTGTGGGGAAGTCCTGAAGAATCTATGCTCACATCACTGTTATTCTTTTCTTTTTACTTCCACTGTCTAGTTCAGGCCCTTAACAACTTACATTGAAACTAATGCAATAACCTGTTATCTCTTCTACCTGGCTCCAACCTCTCCTATTTCTAATTTTCTCTGAACATTGCCTCCAGATTAATTGGACTAAAATATGGCTTCATAATAAATCATCATGATAGGGCATATAACTGTGAAAAGAAAATAAAGCCTTGGGACCCCAAACTCACTATGTCAAAGGGAAAAATTAAGCTTGGAAACTGAGTCACACAAAAACTGCCTTCCTTTTGCTCCTAAACAGATCGTTGCATTTGGATATTTGGACTGTTTACAACCTTAAGCTATTACAAATGGCGCTATTATGAACGTTATTGTCCATGTTTTTCTCTGGGTACTTAGTTAGGAATGAGTATGTGATAACGGAAGGCCATCTATCTCCCCAGGTGGCCTTCCTCACAATTGCTTACAAGGAAATTTTTTGTGGGTCCCAAATCTTTCAGAATACATATCCTCCTGATGAACTACCCCTAAAACACAGTTCTGTTGAATCTCACCCTGACAATGTAGGCTTTTTTTTTTTCTTTTTTTTTTTCTTGTGAGACAGAGTCTTGTCATCCAGGCTGGAGTGCAGTGGCACGATCTTGGCTCACTACAACCTCTGCCTCCCAGATTCAAGCAATTCTCCTGTCTCAGCCTCCTGAATAACTGGGACTCCAGGTGCCTGCCACCAAGCCTGGCTAATTTTTTGTACTTTTAATAGACATGGGCATTTCACCATGTTGCCCAGGCTCATCTCGAACTCCTGACCTCAAGTGATCCACCTGCCTCAGCCTCCCAAAGTGCTGGGATTACAGGCATGAGTCACTGTGCCTGGCCAACTATGTAGATTAACATCTTATCTTCACAGGTATGAGACAAAGACCAGACTAGAAATAATTCCTCTGCCCACCCAAGACAAATGCATATTAGATTTCTTCCTCTACTCTGTGTTTACATATTTTATGTAAAATGTAGATTTACCAAGCAAGAAAACTAACATAATTGACTGTTCCTCTACCCGCCCCTTTCACATGTAAAATGTAGATTCAGCGAGTGCTAATCAAAGCCGCATAGGAAAGTAATCTCCTGTCTCATTGCTTACCCTTCCTTCTTTTTTTCCTTTCCTCTCTAAAGTCCTGAAAAACCCTTTTTGGAAAAAGCACAGGCCACAGATCCTATGGTAACTTGTGTTTCTTTCTCCCAGAAGAACTATGGTTACTTGTGTTTCTTTCTCCCAGAAGAAGAAATAAAACAAACTTCTACATGGCAAAATAAACCTCTACATGGCAAAATAAACCTCTACATGGCAAAATAAACCTCTACATGGATAGAGATCTGTCTCAGACACATTTTGGTTTCCATGACTTCTGAATGGCAGCATGAGGAGCTCCATGAACCCTCTCCCCAGTGAAATGACCATAATCTCTGGAAATTGCTTAAGATCAAAGCCACAACTATTTAAAGCCTTTGGAAATTGTTTTATGGGGATGCGGCAAATTAATAAACTTTTATTCAAGAAAATGTACTAAGTCTCAGTAAGAACAGTGAGAGTCAATAACATTTGTACCACAAAAGACTTCCTCCCTCCTTCTTCTAGCTCAGCATGATGGAAAAGTTACTCTAAGTAGGTGAAGCCGAGAACACGGGCTACCTCTTTCCCCAGCTCTCAGTTGAGGGCTACTATATCTCGCTGGGAGGGCGGCTGCCAGCATTTCTCATACCCTCCAGCTTCATGCTGCAAAAGCTCTACTTTGGACAAGACTGGCTGATAAATCTGGGGCTCACTTCGTAAACCTAGCCCCCAATCATAGGGCAGAAACTCCACCTCGGCCATGGCAGGCTGAGAATACTGGAGCCTGTGTTACCCTGGCCTCAGCTTGCTCATGGGGCAGAGATTCTTTACAGGAAAGGCAAGAGCAGAAGAGCAAAAGCTACTGCTCTGCCCAGCACTCTGCTCATAAAGCCGGATTGTCATCCTGAGATAAGGGGGCCACTGTCTCTGCCTGAGTTCCCCAAGCTCCGGAGCAGTGGTGCAGAGGTTTTGCCCAAGGGGAGAGGAAGGCGGTAGATACAGAGACCTCTGAAGTTCTTCCCAAGAAAACACTTTATGTAGAACACAATGTGGGAAAGTTCAAGTGTAAGGGTGTTCTCAAAAACAATGAAGATTTTGTTGGTAAGCAATTAAGAGGAGCCTGGGAACTCCATTCAAGCAACAAGCTGAACTGTAGACCAGCTAGAAGTGTTCTGGAGAGAACCAGGGAAAGCATCAGCTAAGAAGAGCCCCCTTGGTGTTAGAATAAGTCTCAAAGACTGACCTGAAAGATTACCCTTGCAAAGGGGCCCAAATTTAATGTACAAGACAGGAGCAATTCATGCCTCCAGGGCATTATCAAACACGAAAGAACAATCAGCCAGCAGTTGGTGGAGGCTAACGGCTGTATGTGATACCATAGCAGGCTGACAGCTTAACAAAGAGATAAGGTAAAGAGAAAAGGAGACTTTTTTTTTTTTTTTTTTAAGATGGAGTCTCACTCTGTCGCCCAGGCTGGAGTGCAGTGGCCCAATCTCAACTCATTGCAGCCTCTCACTCCCAGGTTCAAGTGATTCTCCTGCCTCAGCCTCCCAAATAGTTGAGATTACAGGCGTGAGCCACCACACCTGGCCCAAATTTTACTCTTCTAGGCACCTCATGTAAGTGGAATCATACAGTATTTGTCCTCTTGTGATTGGCTAATTTCACTTTACATAATGTCTTCAAGTATCATCCATATTGCAGCATGTGTCAGAATTGTCAGAATTTCATTCCTTTTTTTTTTTTTCTTGAGACAGGGTCTCACTCTGTCTCCCTGGCTGGAGTACAGTGGCACAATCACAGTTCACTGCAACCTCAACCTCCTGGGCTCAAATGATCCTCCTACCTCAGCCTCCCAAGTAGATGGGACTACAGGAGCACGCCACCATGCCCAGCTAATTTTTTTTTTTTTTTTTTTTTTTTTTACTTTTTTGTAGAGACAGGATCTCACTGTATTGCCCAGGCTGGTCTTGAACTCTTGGGCTCAAGCAATCCTCTTGCCTCTGCCTCCCAAAATGCTGGGATTACAAGCATGAGCCACTGCACCGGCCAATTTCATCCCTGTGAAAGCTGAATAGTATTCCATTACTTGTACTTACCAATTTTATTTATCCCTTCATCCATCAATGGACATTTGGGTTGTTTCCCCCTTTTGGCCATTATGAATAATGCTGCTATGAACCCTGGCATACAAATCAAATGTAACTTAAATGCCACGTCTGCATTGTGGGTGATACAAGAGATGATTATAGAATAGCACATGGAAGAACATTTAAAAACATAAATTTAAAATGTCATATTTAAAAATGTAATAGTTGGCCGGGTGCAGTGGCTCAAGCCTATAGTCCCAGCACTCTGGGAGGCCGAGGCAGGGGAATCACTTGAGGTCAGGAATTCAAGACCAGCCTGGCCACTAAAAACACACACACAAAAATTAGACAGACGTGGTGGCGCACGCGTGTAATCCCAGCTACTCGGGAGGCTGAGGTGGGAGGATCCCTTGAACCCAGGAGATGGAGGTTGCAGTGAGCCAAGGTCGTGCCACTGTACTCCAGCCTGGGCAACAGAGCAAGACTCTGTCTCAAAAAATTAATAAATAAAAATAATAAAATGTAATCCTTATGAAATGATTTTAATGTAATTAGAATAACTATAATCACACTTTAAGCCTGCAATATCACATATATTATTGCTTCGGCCCACAAGGTTTCTCAACCTCAGCACTATTGACATTTGGGATAATTCTTTGTTGTGGGGCTGTCCTGGGCACTGGAGGGTGGTTAGCAGCATCTCTAGCCCCTACCCACTAGAGGTCAACAGCACCCCTGCAGTTGTGACAACCACAGACATTGTCAAGTGTCCCCTGAGGGATGAAACTGCCCCCAGTTGAGAACCACTGGTTTAGGATGGGGCTGAATAAGGTATTTAATTTTAAAAGTTGAGTCAATTTAATAACATTATTAAGTAAATAATAAAGCAGAGAGTACAGAGATAGGGTCAAAATTATCAATGTGGTTTGCAGATGCCTGGAGTTTGGGATGTTTGCTCTGCAACTATGCGAGGATATCCAAATACCCAAGGGGCTGAGACGAAGCCATTAACTAAGATGAAGGCATTATCTGGCCTCCACCACCAGCCCCATCCATTTTTTTCATCTTCTCGCCTACTGGGTCCCTATTTGACTCTGCTATGGACAAACTATCTTGTGTTCATCCACTCACAGGCCTACCTGGAATGCCATGCTCCCTCACCGCCAATGCTGCCCTACCAAATTCAGCCCATAGACCTTCAAAAACCAATTCAAATCTCCAAGAATCCAAGTCAGAAGAAATTGCTGCCTCCTCTGAATAATTATTGCTGACACTGATTGCACTCTGTGCTTATTGCTCAGTCCTTTGAGTTATCTCGTCAATATTTCCCATTTGTCCTATATCCATCCCCACCTAGGAATGAATGGGACTTCATGATTCTGTCTTTCTAGTATTAGATGTCTTGCTCAGTAAAAAATGTTTACTGTCTTGTAAATTAATTTAAATATATGGTAAAATAATATAGGGGTCTCTGGAAAGATGGAAATTGTTTGTTATTGTTTTTGAGACGGAGTCTCACTCTGTTGCCCAGGCTGCAGTGCAATGGTGTAATCTCAGTGCAATCTTGGCTCACTGCAACCTCCGCCTACCAGGTTCAAGCGATTCTCCTGCCTCAACCTCCCAGGTAGCTGGAATTACAGGCGCCTGCCACCACGCTGGGCTAATTTTTGTATTTTAAGTAGAGACGGAGTTTCACCATGTTGGCCAGGCTGGTCTCGAGCTCCTGACCTCAAGTGATCCACCCGCCTGGGCCTCCCAAACTGCTGGGATTACAGGTGTGAGCCACTGTGCCCGGCCTGTTTTTGTTTTTTTGTGGGTTTTTTGTAGTTGTTGTTATTTTTTTACACTGCATCTCGCCTTCTCCGGAAATAGTTTTAAAATAGCTCAATAACATAAAATTATGTAGGAAAGGGTGTATGATGAGCTTATTTAATGCACAAGTTTTATCGACTGTTTTGCAATTAATAGTATGAAAAACTCAATTTTTATTTCTGTAATTAAGAATGACATCAGGAAGAGGAATGCATGGTGACTAAGAAGAAGTCATCATTAGCCAGTCACCTGTCAGATATTCTGTATGTATCTGATTATAAGATTAGAACACTTTTTCATCTGTGTGTGTGCGCGCGTGCACGTGCGTGTATGTGTGTTTGTGTGTTTCATGAGCATTTTTAGTACTGGGTCCTATATATGTAAGTATAAATATTACCATAAAATTTATCAACCAAATTGGGACTATTTGAGAGTCACCTGGTGGGAGGGAGGGCACTATTAAAATTTTGCCAGGACAACATACATAAGCCAGGAGTGTTCATCTTATGATTTTACTATAGACAACTCACATATAGCTTAAGAAAGCAGCTCAAATCACAGACAAGATTATTTTTCATGATCGTTTTCACTGGCCACCAGAAAGCCTTTTCTAATAACAAAAGGACCACATTTTTGAATTTCATCATAGTTTGTCCTCATGGAACTATTGCATGCTGGGACTTAAAGCCTCTAAACAAACTTCATCTCCATTACCAATAAGAAGCCAGACAGTCGACCTGGTAACAGGACATTCTGAACCTCCTTCCTAGACTGCATGCAGACTGCACCGGCTGTGACAATAAAGCCACAATATTGGATCCCTCAGACTGCACCATGTCATGACTGCAGGAATACTTTATGAACCTCCAGGCTGCAGCTTTTACTATTATTCTCTTAGCCTCATCCTTTCCATTTCCCTCACAGTGATTACACTGATGAGGTCTAGTCTCAAAAACCTTAACTCGGTCCTCAAACCGTTTTTGGTAACCATATTCGAAAGGAAAAGTTTCTCGCACCAGGTGGTGAGATTTTGCTAGTGTAAAAAAAAAAAAAAAAAAAATCCTGCATGTGTTGGAGAGTGTGTATATAGGAACTGTCTGTACTTTCCACTTAATTTTGTTATAAACCTAAAACTATTTATTTATTTAGAGACAGAGTCTCCCTCTGTTGCCCAGGCTGGAGTGCAGTGGTACGATCTTGGTTCACTGCATCCGCCGCCTCCTAGGTTCAAGCGATTCTCCTGCCTCAGCCTCCCAAGTAGCTGGGATTACAGGCACACGTCACCACACCCAGCTAATTTTTGTATTTTTAGTAGAGACGGTGTTTCGCCAATTGACCAGACTGGTCTCAAACTCCTGGCTTCAAGTGATCCGCCCACCTCAGCCTCCCAAAGTGTTGGGATTACAGGCATGAGCCACGGCGCCTGGCCCTAAAACTGCTTTAAAAAATAAAGTCTATCTATATTTTCTAAAAATCCTGAATCCTGTGATCACTACTTCTGAGGGCTAGAACTTAGAAAATGAGTGAGGACCTTAGAGGAAGGTTCTGAAATGGGCTCCTATAATAGCTGTGGCAAACATTTATTAAACATTTTTAGGTATTTGCCAGGTACTGTTTGATGCACTTTGCATCTGTGAACTCATCTGCCACTCAAAGGACCCCATGAGACAAGCACTTCACTGTCCTCTGCGTTTTACAGAAGAAAGTAGGGCACAGAGATGTGCTGTACTCGCCCAAGGTCACAAGGCTAGGAAGGATGGAATCAGGATCCAATCCCCAGCAGTAGAGCTTCCAAATCCCCTTTCTCTGAACCATCCCCCGAGGACACAGAATAACAAAAATGACAAACTGAGTGAATTGCTGATTTTCCTTAAAAGAATAAATAGAACATATTATCTGCTCCAACCACTGCTCCCTGCTGTCTCCCAGAGTACCTTGACTTTCTCAGGTTAGTAAATCCTGCAGAGGCCCCAGTTGAGTTAGAAGCAGTTCTGCTTTAATGAAGTCCTGCAGCTTTGGCCATCCCAGAAGGTGACTGGGGCATACCCTCTCCCTTGTTCTTTTTTATTACAAGGTACTGTCACGGTTTTGAAAATTCACTTTACAGCCACATCCCAACACCTGCTTATCTCAGGCCAAGGCTCACCAAATCCTCAATCCCAACGGGCCACTAAACTTGAAGGCAAAAATAAGTCCATTTTGTCTCCTAAATGGCCTCCCTCAGAAATGATTTATAGAATGAAATAATATGATTAAACAGAATATGGCAAGACTGCAAGCAGAAGGGAGGAAACAGAAACCAGAGACAATTAAGGAAACAGTTCTGTGTGCTGGGAAATGATAATGGATCATTCTTTAAGCCTGCCAGAGCTGCAGAGAAGATGCCCGGATCCTTTTACTCTTCCTCCTCTTCCTGAGCTCAGTCTGTGCCTCTTTTTGAGCCTCTGTGACATAATTGTGTTTTAGAATTCCTGAACTGGAAAGATGTCCTTTTCTGGAACTGGTGGCTGAACCTATGTTCCTGAGATGGGAGAAAAAAGCCATTTACACAATGGCGAGCCCATCTGCAATCTACTCCTAACAGCTGCTTTTTGTGGCTCTGAATCAAGTTGGAGAAATCATCCTGGATCTCAGGAGCCACTTCATGCTTTTCAGGGCCTAACAAGACATCTCACTTTCCCTTAGCAAACACAGGCAGAAGCAAACCTGTATTGGGCTGGGCCTATTTCCGTAACATGCATGCAGCCATGTGTATGGCTACCAAGCAGCACTGTTTAAAGACAAGAACCAGAAAACTGTGGATCAGAACCAAATGTGTACATAGATATGTGTACACACCCCTCCAAAACTAGTGACAAATCTTTTTTGTTTTTTTTTTTCTGAGACAGAGTCTCACTCTGTCATCCAAGCTGGAATGCAGTGGTGCAATCTCACTGCAGCCTCTGCTTCCTGGGTTCAAACGATTATCCTGCCTCAGCCTCCTGAGTAGCTGGGATTACAGGTGTGTGCCACCATGCCCAGCTAATTTTGTATTTTTAGTAGAGATGGGGTTTCACCATGATGGCCAGGCTGGTCTGGAACTGCTGACCTCAGGTGATCCTCCTGCCTTGGCCTCCCAAAGTGCTGGGATTACAGGCTTGAGCCACTGTGCCCAGCCTATTTTTTAAATTATTATTAATTTTTAATTGACAAAATTTGTATATATTTATGATGTACAACATGCTTTACTTATTTATGTTTATCATGTTATTATGTTTATTTGTCAAACAAGGTCTCACTCTGTGGCCCAGGCTGGAGTGCAGTGGTGCGATCACAGCTCACTGCAGCCTCAACTTCCTGGGCTCAAACAACCCTCCTGCCTCAGCCTCCCCACTAGCTGGGACTACAGGCATGCACCACCACATCAGGCTAAATTTTAAATTTTTTGTAGAGACGGGGTCTCACTATGTTGCCCAGGTTGGTCTCAGACTCCTGGGCTCCGCCTCAGCTTCCCAAAATGTTGGATTACAGGCGTGAGCCACTGTACCGGTCCATGTTTTGATACATGTATACATTGTGGGATAGCTACACCAAGCTAGTTAACATATGCATTACCTTATATACTTATCTAGTGATAATCTAAAGCTCTTTTTTGGAAGTCCAAACTGTTTTAACTCAGAGTCAGGACGATGGGGTTCATCACTAAGAGACTTTGCTACTGAAGCCTGGGTTTTTCTTTTCCAAGATGAAAGAGAATACAGAGGAATATATAAACACTGAGATGAAACCTTTTTTTTTCAAGGTAACATGACAACTGAATGAAAAATAGAGCAATGGCAAAGGATTCTTTCTTCTCCTTCACTCTGATGTACCATGGCTGTGAGTTCTTTCAAAGACAGACACAAAGGGTCTGGGGCTACATTCAGGCCTGAGAAGCTATTTCTGTCCACACTCTGTGATGTCTACACCTTCAGAATGGGGAATGGGTTTCAGGGGTCTCTGACAGATAGAGCTCATGCAATGATTTCTGGTCCGGTGCTGATCAGCCTTCAAAGGATGTTATTTGGTTACGCTCCATAAAACTTGAGCCAGCCCACTGTTCCTTGTCACAACCTGAAATATGTTGGGAAAAATTTACATGGTAACAAATGCCACTTCCCTTCTCTGACTAAATCGCTCCTCTCATTTCATCCCCTGCTCCCTCTCTCCGAGCCCTATGGGGCCTTGGTAGGGTGGCCTTGTCTGCCCTACAGGGGTTGCATTTCAAGTCGCTCAAGTGTTCTATTCTTGGTACACGACATGCCATTGCAAAAGCAGTTTCAGGCTCATAGAATTTTAGAAATGGGCCTAGTTTCCCAGCCGGATGAGGTGAGTGGGTGATGGGGGAAGAATCAGCCTTGATTGAATGCCTGTTGAGTGCCAGCCACTGTTGGCATTTATCAGAGTTTATTTAATCTTCTCATCAACTACTATTGTTACCCTCAGTTGCCAAGTGAAGGGAGCATGCGGGAAGGTTAAGTGACTTGCCCAAGCCCACACAACCGGTAGGAGCCCCAATTCCAGGCCCTAGTTCCAAGGCTACATTCTTCCAGGCGGCCTCCAACTGGGTTGGTTAAGGGTTGAAAGGACAGTGGGACAATAACTGAGGCCCGTATTGCCCAGAGCGTCCCCATCCCCCGTCCGGAGCTGGAAGAGGCCATAGACCGCTGCCTCCACATCTTTTCCTCTCCTTCGGGTTCGGTGACTCACGACCCTTCTTCCTCTCTCCCGGGATATGACCTCAAATTTCACCCCTGCGAAATTTGAGTACACGTGAGTCAGTCAGTCGGCCTGGACCCATAAGAGCCCCAGCTGAGCTACCAGCAGCTGAGCTACCAGCCGACCTCATTCCTCTGAGCCCAGTCGACAGCTGACCTTACCCAGCCCTCTAAAGCAGTTTGCGGTCACAATTACCCGTCTCTTCACCCCGCCCCCATCGACATCAAACACGACCCACCTTCTAGCCCTCCTCCCCTTTCCCCGCCCACTCCGGGCTGGCCTTATCCAGTAGCGTCTGGGTCCCTGGACTAAAGCCGTCAAATGTAACCAATTGCTGAGGAGCTCTCCCCTAAGAATCCCGCCTCCACTCTGAGGAACAGCTTCGCTGATCAATGGATCCCCTCCTAGACGCAATGAGCGCGCGGGGCAAGTGGAGAAGCGGCTGAACTGCCCAATGAACAAGCGGTTTCCGTGGTTAGGGGCGTGGCAGAAGCGGTCGTCAGGGGCGTGGCGGCAGTTACTTGGGCGGGGCCGGTAGCGGCGGGAGCTGCACTGGCCAGGGGTTCCGGCTGTATATCCATGAGCGCCGCTGGCAGCCGGGGAGCTGCAGGAACCAGACTGGGGGCGAGCTGAGCACCTGTAGTCAATCACACGCAGGTAAAGCCACGGCCGAGCGAGCTCCGCGGAGCGGGGATCGCACCCCGGACCCGTCGAACCGAATCTCCGAGCCCCGAGGTCCCCGGCGTAGCTCGGCCCATCACGCCGCAGCCTGAGGGGATCCTGGGGGGCCTGTCATCTGGCGCCGTGGGGGTCCCAGGGGCTGGCTTGCCCAGTGGTGGGGACAGCCCAGATCGCGGCGGGGGATACGCCTTCCTGAGGCCCTTTGTCCCCTTCTGCCCGAGGAACCGAGGTTGGGGACAACCCCGACCGCGGCCTTTCCCCCATTGGTGCTCACTCCTGGGTCTTCAGGGGCCTGGGGAGGGGTCTGCCGGTTCAGGCTCGGCGAAGAAGGTCCGGGATCCGCACCTGGAAGGAGAGGGCCGAGGGGCCTGATTACAGCCCGAGATACCCGAGAGGCCTCTGTGTTTCGGGGCTCCAGGGGCTCACGCAGGACCAGTGGGTTTAAGTTCTAGAAAGGCAGCTTTTGACCCACTTGGAAGCACATTTACCGAGTTCGGCCCCGCGACCGGCACTGTTCTAGGCCCTTCGTGAGCTTTTCCCACAGCTAGAGCTGTCCAGCAGCGCAGGAGGCTGCCTGCCAGGCCGGGCAGCTAGCGCCTCGACCTTGGCGATGTCCAAGCAGTGGCCTGATGACAGCCACCTGTGTCGGATGCTTAGGACTCCCAAGGGAGGACTGCATGACCCATCTGTAAGGGCCTTCTCTACCCACAAATGCACTCTAAGTGGCCTTTGATGCCTAGCTTGAGAAGAGTACTTCTGGGGGTCCATTAGGTTCCAAGTGGCTGTTGAATTCACCCATAATGAATTTTGAGGTTTCAGCTCTCAAGAGTGGGTGTTAGCAAAGAGACTGGATTATACAAAAAGATAGAGGTTTATTTAGCCACTGTGAAACTCCTTGTATTTGAACTACCATGGACCGCTCTCTTAATCTTCCCAATCTCTCTTTTTTGGTTGCTGGACCTCCAGTTTGTCAGTTTCACCTGCATTCCAGTAACCAAATCCAAAGGCATGTTCCAAGAACAGGCTCCACAGAGGGACCTGGAGAGACTGCAGGTTTGGCAGAGTCAACAAGATCTGTGCCCAGAGCTTTTCGAAGGCCGTTTCCTTACAGCCACATTAAGCAGAGTCCAAAAGAGAAATCCTTCACTACCCTCTGTCATTTGCCGGAATAGAGAGAACATAATAATCTAAAGGTCAGGAGGCAGAGAAAGAATCTTAACACACCTTGCTGTGTGTTTTAGGATGAATTAATCTTTGAACATCTAGTCAGAAAGCAGTCCATATACAGCTGGTAGTCAGCACGGACTGTGACATTTTAGAGCTGAAGGCACCTTAGATAGAGCTCATCTCTATCTAAGTCTAATTAGGTGGACTCTCATTCAGTCTCCTCAATGCACAGGTGAGGAAACTGAGGCCTGGGGTGGTCACAGGGCTGGTTGGTCATCACAGGCCCATGACTAAGGGTTGATCTCTTGACTGTATTTAGATCTAGCCAGTGCATGACTTATTTCACTCCAAGCTTAGTTTGCCCATTCTCAGTGTTTTAAGTTCTAGGGGAGTCCAGAGAGGTTAGGAGGACAGATTTTGGTGCCTGAGTGCCTGGATTTGAATCCCAGCCCTGCCTCTTACTGGCTGTACAACCTTGGGCAAGCTACTTAACTTCTCTGTGCCTCTGTTTCCTCACCTCTAAAACAGAAATAATAATGATACTTATGTTAGAAGATTGTTTTGAGAAGTGCATGGAGTTACTACATCTGAAGCATTTAGAACAGTACCTGGCACAGGGTAAGCACAATAGATTTGCTAGATATGATATTCTGTTGCCTTTTTGTACATTTTTCTTCATATCCACCACCCAATACTCTATCAAGAGCTAATTTTTCCCCCAGTCCCCTTCCCCCCACCCCCAAATTCATTTAACATATTCCAGATTTCATTTTAACACAGACAGCTGCAAGGGGTTTCCAAGTCACGTTGCATTTTATACCTTACTTATTTTTGTGATTCAGGTAATTTAGTTTCTATGTTAGTTCCCCCTTGCAGTTACATTCTTCTTAGGCTCTGAACCCTTTAAAATTATCGTTAAAAGCAGGCAGTGAGGGGTGGGAATCCCTCGAAATGGTAAAGTCCTGGATGATACCCGTGTCCATGGTGTCCTTCCAAATATGTATTCCCTCTCTTCAGCCCTCCTCCCAAGCGATGAGTGTGATGCAGCTTGATTCTAAATGGATGAACATTTTTAGATTAAGATTTTATGAGCCACTGTATTAAGTGCTTTTCGGAAGTTCAGGGATCATGTGTCAACTGCATTTAAGGAAGTTACTTAGTCATTCGAATAGGGGGAGCACCAGCAGCGCCTGCCTGGCCTGGCAGAAGCAAAAGTGTGTGACTGATCCGTGCTGGCAATCTAGCTGGTTCACTGGTTTATCTGTGTTTTTCCTGTTCTTTTCCAAAGCTTGAAATAAACCAGATGGCAAGTACAAGGGAATGGTCTTTTTCCTCTCATTTTAGTCAGGGTCGTTCACTTTTTTCCCTTTTTACTCTCACCTTCATTTCCTTTATCGCCTGCGTGGGTCTGACAAATAGGCACTCTCAGTGTGCCAGCCAATTCCCTTTTGATGAAAAGATGCCTGCCACTTTCATTTTTTGCAGGAATCCAGTCACCTTTGATTTTCTCTTCTGTTTTTACTTGTTTTCTAGATTGAACCAAAGATTATCACTTCATTAAATGGCACCTTCTCATGCTTTATTTTTCTTGAGTTGATTCTGAATTTCGGTTTTTGTTTAAGCTGTTCTAGAGATCAGCCATTTTAGAATAATAGTTTTCATTTCTTTGCTTGTGTATTAATATGGGCCCCTTTCTCTCTTTCTCACTCTCTTTTCTCAGTATTTTGGTGGATGAGCTTCTCATTTGCTGTTACTCGTTGCTTTAAGCATTTACGCCTTTTCCTGGTAATCTCCGGCAGGACCCATAACCTCTGTAGTGGTTCTCACTGCCCTTGTTCAGAGCTCCTGCCCCGAGCAGGAAATAATTTCTTTGGTCTTATGGGAGACAGGGGTAGAGTCTGTCTTATTTTTTGCCTAAAATCTGGCTCTTTTAAAAGCCCCAGGAGAGAGACATTTCCAATATAATTGAATTTTGTGTGGCAGAATTTCTACCATGACCTACAGCTTACAGTATTCCCATTTTTATTGCATTGTGAGTTTTGAGTACTCCATGACCAGTTTCAGAGTATAGATGATGTGGGGCATGAGTTGCTTTAGCCTTTCTGTTTCATCTTGGGCTAAGCTATCCCCAGGAACAGAGCAATGAGAAGTTCAGGGTGCCTCTTAAATGTGTCTGGTGTCAGGATTTTATAGCAGCTTTTCATGGTTCAGCCTTTTTGGCCAGTGCATGAGTAGGACATTTTTAAGCCCTGTGCTGCTGTTTCTTTGTTGATACCATACAGATGCTACATTATCTCCTTTCAGGATTTTCATATCTGCAGATTGATTTTTGTTGTCTTGTCCAGGGCATCATATTTTTGGATTGAATGTTTTCTGTTTGTAAAATGGTTGGTGTGGACAGACGATAAGCTCCACCATTACCCCTGAAGCTTGTGGACTGGGGCCATTTGGGTGAGGGGCTTGTTACACACCGACTCATTGTCTGATCTTTCACAATAAATAGCAGACAGGTGAAGAGCTTTTTAGAGAAGTGGAACGTTGGTACCCTTGGATTTGCCTGGTTTCTGATTTTCTTTTGTTGTCTTTAAGTGGAGGTTCATTAAGTTCAACAAATTAAGCATCTGGTGTGTGCCAGGAACACAGTTGACAAGATTAACAAATTAGTTTGGTTTGTTGCTTAAAAACTATTTTGTTTTAAAATTGTTTTTAATAGAAATTTTAAAATTTTTTAATTCAAATTTTAGTTTTTAAAAATAGGCAATACATTCACATGATGAAAGAAAATTTTTTAAAGGCACAAAAGGTTAACTAGTAAATACATCTGTGTGTACCCCTGACCCCTGATCCTCAGAGGCAACCAGTATTAGCGATTTCTTCATCCTCCAGAAGTGGTCCCTGAACTTCCAAGGGATTTTATACATCTGTAAGCAAATTCGTTAAACATATTCTGTACACCACCCCTTTTTGCAGAAATGGTAGCACACTGCATACATGCTATTTGGAACCTTGCCTTTTTCACTTAATATTTCTTGGCAGTGTGAAAAGAGCTTCCACGTCATTTTTTATGAAGGCCGTCTATTTTAGATATCTGTTTTCTGTTTCTAAGGATGCTAAAAAACAGTCTTATTTAGGCAGCAGCTTTGCTGGAGATCTTAAAGATCTTGTGAATATTTGGAGGCAAATATTTTTCTTTTCTGTGAGAGCCCGGGGGAGGTGCAGGGGAGCTTCTAAAGGTCAGCTGAGAAGGGAGAGCTGGGGCACTGGAGAGTGAGGAACGCATTGGTCCTTGGGCCCTTCTTCGCCTTGCCGTCTGTGCAGAATGTGCTAGCATTTCCAGGGAAAGTTTGCCGTTTGCTCTCTGTTCTCCAGAGAAGCTTCCTGGCCTCCCCAAGTCACATTTCCAGCATCTTTTTTCATTCTTTTTTTTTTTTTTTTTTTTTTTTGAGACAGAGTCTCACTTTTGTCTCCCAGGCTGGAGTGCAGTGGCGCAATCTTGGCTCGCTGCAACCTCTGCTTCGCGGGTTCAAACGATTTTCCTGCCTCAGCCTCTCAAGTAGCTGGGATTACAGGCACACGCCACCACCCCCAGCTAATTTTGTATTTTTGGTAGAGACAGGGTTTCACTATGCTGGTCTCAAACTCCTGACCTCAGGTGATCCTCTTGCCTCAGCCTCCCAAAGTGCTGGGATTACAGACGTGAGCCACCGTGCCTGGCCTCATTTCCAGCATCTCTGTTGCATTTCATCCCGTCTCCTGCACCACAGCATCACTCCATTTGTCCTGCCTTTGGGCGTCCAAGAGGAAGCCTGCCCTTTGTCACAGCACTTTCTGTTTGGGTAGCTTTAAGTGTCTCACCCCTTCTTTTCTCTCACCCCAGGAAAAACCAGCTCTCACACCTGCTCCTCTGTAAAGCGTCTTCCCCAAGCCCACACGTAATTTTGTTGCTGTCCTTGAAAGTATTTCCCAAGATCTCCAAACCGCTTTAAACTTCCAAGGTCTGAGCCTGACCTGGCCTCGCTAACAAAGGGTTCCACTGATGCCGACTCTAAGAAGAAAGTTTTCAAGGTTCTTCGTATTTGAACTTTCTATGGCTAGGCTTATGTTTAAAATAACCACACTGATTTAAACATGGTCTTATAGTCTTCAGTGGCTCCCAGGTCTTGCCTCTCGGGTTTTTTTTCCTCTTTCCTTTGAATGTGCCTTAACCTTCGTCTTGCTTTTATTTACCTCTGAGTCTGGTTTAGAGCCACCTGGAAATTGAATGGAATCTTTAGTCTATTAGTCTAATCTAGAGTCCTTACCTTCTGGCCTTTGCTCATTGCAGAGCCCCCACATTATTAGTCAGTTGTACCACAGATACTGTGTTACATAAGGTGAGGAGAGGGAGGTGGTGTTATCAGTTCCACTTTTTCCAGGCTAGAGTGCAGTGGCCCGATCTCGGTGCACTGCAACCTCTGCTTCCCGGGTTCAAGCGATTTTCCTGCCTCAGCCTCTCATTTTATCTTGGATAAAAGAGAAGCTTTGAAAGATTGCCTCCCTATGTGTACAGTCACTGTAGGCATGTATTTGTGTACTGTTTACTTAGTCATGTCAATGAGGGCAATAAAAAACAAAAATCAGGAAGCCCAACATGGATTGCTACATTTTAATTCTTTCAAATAAGGAAATACAGCAGGGCTTGGTGTCACTACGCCTGTAGTGACAGCACTTTGGGAGGCCGAGGCGGGCGGATCACCTGAGGTCAGGAGTTTGAGATCTGCCTGATCAACATGGTGAAACCCCGTCTCTACTAAAAATACAAAAATTAGCTGAGCATGGTGGTGTGCGCCTGTAGTCCCAGCTACTTGGGAGACTGAGGCAGGAGAATCACTTGAACCCAGGAGGCAGAGGCTGCCGTGAGCCAAGATCGCACCACTGCACTCCAGCCTGGGCGGCAGAGCAAGACTCCGTCTCAAAACAGCAACAACAACAACAACAAAAACAAATAAGGAAATACAAAAGCCCTGTCATCTAAAAAGATATTTTAGCCTGGGTGCGGTGGCTCACACCTGTAATCCCAGTACTTTGAGAGGCCGAGGCAGGCGGATCACTTGAGACCAGGAGTTCGAGACCAGCCTGGCCAACATGATGAAACCCCATATCCACTAAAAATACAAAATATTAGCCGGGCATGGTGGTTCACACTCAGAATCCCAGCTACTCGGGAAGCTGAAGCAGGAGAATCACTTGAACCCGGGAGGCAGAGGTTCCGGTGAGCCAAGATTGAGCTACTGTACTCCAGCCTGGGTGACAGAGCAAGACTGTGTCTCAAAAAAAAAAAAAAAAAAAAAAGATATTTTAGCACCAAAAATGTTGGAAGATCAATATCTCAGATTAAAGAGCACCTTCTAACCAGGACATATTTAGCTTACTAAAAAGGTTGAGTTAATGGCCATTGAATTATGCTGTTTGGGAGGGCCTAAAGTCGAGGATTCTACTCAAGGAGAGGTTCCTCTTTTGCAGTTTCCTTAAACAATGCTCGTTACTCTTTTTCTGGGAAATCAGGCCATTGATTTAGTTTAGTTAACCTAACTGCAGCAGCATTTGGCGGGGCTTTGCGCCCAGTTTTTCAGGTGGTACAGACTACACAATGTTGATATGCAATTGTAGCACCTTATAGTGAGGTGAACTTATACTGGAAATCGTTCTTTGAATCCTGAAGCCTGGATTTGTCATGTTTGAAGTGCCACGTTTTAGTTCTTAAGGACTGAGGAGTGGGAGGGGGCTGAGGTGAGACCCCAGCAACCTGCTGGAATTAAGTAAGGCTCTTCAGTGGTATTTACACATAAGTTCTTTGGAAGCATGTACTTAAACTTACTAAATCCATGATTTGGTATGCCCGGTAATGGCCCAGATGGCTTCTGAGATACAGCATGACCTCTCTTCCGTGTCCCCACCACACTTTTTGCTTTCCTCGTGTAGCACCATCACATTCATTTTGTGCTATGGATTTCCCAATCCAGGGCTGAGGATGTGTCCTTGAGGTTCCTTGGGTTCTCATTAGATTACAAACTCAGACGTTTTGGTTTCGTGTTAATGATAATTGAAAATGTTTTACAAGCCTGTCCTGGAATGTTGGGATACCTAATTATAATATCAAGGTGCACCCACGTCGTCTCAGTGCCTCCCCCGTTTGTATGTGAATTTCTGATGAATTGAAGCCAGGTAAACCCCACTATAGAGAAAAATACAGAGATGAACTTCGCGCAGAAAAGATATGAGAGCATCATGTGAAGTCAAATGATACCACACAGCACTGTGTAAATGAAGGCTGTAGCAGTGGTCCCAGCGAGAAAAGGAGTGTGAGAATGGACTTGTCACACTGTACCTGTCAGTGTAGGCTCTCGGGATCCATAGAACCTGCCCAGGCACAGGCAGGACCACACTGACATTGTCTGCAGGTATTTCAGGTCTGAAAAATGGCATTAGTCTCATTACATTAATGTAGCTCATCTGAATTTACTGTTTGAGTAATTTTATGTTTTTATAAATGTGCCTGGATCTCTGTAATCGTAAAAGTGCCAAAGGAAGTTTATGCTCCATACTGAGTACTATTTGTACTGTTTGTGCATTTTAAGAAATAATATAATAAATAATAGTTGGATAAAAGTAGTTTAATTTAAATTTAAGAATGGAACACAAAGTAATGTAACCAGGGGCATCTGGCAGGACTAGTTTTTCCCCTCAGAGGAAGCCATTTGGTACCTGAGTTTGAAAGACCCCAGTGCAGGAATCGAAGCTCTGGGAGGCAGACAGAGGTTTCCAGTCATGTTTGTGTCATTCATATGGCTCCTTTCCATGTGCTGACCATTTGAGAAATATTAGCTGAGTTGAAGAGTTAATTGACATAATTGGTTTTCTGCCTTGAGGTCCTGTCTGTTCGGACCCTGAAAGTGATAAAGTTATTTGGAGAACTTGAGAAACACTCCCAAAGAGAGTGACAAAAGTTACTTATGGGTTTGGGAAAGACACTTTACAGGGGAGCAGGTACAAGTCATCATACCCGTTTGTACGTGCAGCCAACACTTACCTTCTACATTAATGAAAGGAAGACTTCCAAAACTAATTTCTCTGTTTCTTTTTGTTTGTTTATTTTTGGAGTGAGTGATAAAGGTTTCTTGTTGATATTTGCGTGACCTAAACTCTTGCCAGAATTGCAGTAGCTGGCAGCAGCCTCAAGTTTATTTTCCACAGGCAACTCATCAGCCCAGGGACAGTAGAGGCTTGATCGCAGCTGAAAGTTGGGGTGAGCTTGGGCCTTTGTGACTAGCAGGACTGTTTGTCATATTGCTAAATAATCACTCATTCATTTATTAGCTTTTTATTCTGGGAATTTTAAAGATATACAGAAGTAGAGAGAATCATATAATGAACCTCCAAGCCCCACAAAACCCATCCCAGCTTTAACAATAATCAACTCATAACCACTCACATTTACTCTGTCTTCCTAGCTACTTCTCCCAGCTCACATTAATTTTGAAATAGATCCCAAACATCATATAGTTGCATCTGTAAATATTTCCATGATAATTCTTAAATATAAAGACTCCTTTGTTAAACACCCATTATTACTCTTTGAAAAATTAACACTAATCCTTTAATATCATCAAATATCATCATTGTTCAAATTTCCAATTGTTTAAAAATGGCATAAGTGTTTTTCTCCTTAAGCTTAATTTTTGTGAGTTAGGATTCAAGTAAGGATTAGACATTATGATTGATTGCTCTACCATTTATGTCTCTTTTAAGCTATAGGTCCCCTTTTCTTTTCTTTTTTCTTCTTTTCCCTGTAATTTGTTGGAGAAACTGGGTAGTCTGTCCAGTAGAGGTATTTGTTTACTTTTGACAGATAACGCATTCATGTGTTATAACATTCAAAAGGTACAACATAGTAAAGAGTGGAAAACTTCCTCCCAAGAAGCACTCAATGTTACTAGTATCTTGTATATTTTTTCAGAGATCTTTTATGTGTGTCCCAGCAAATGTGTATGCATCTATATTCTTTTTCTTTCTTTTTTATATAACTGGTAGCATATTGTACATGTTGTTCTGCTCCTTGTTTTAGTCACTTAACATGGAATTATACATGTTAGCAAATTTCTTGTTTTTTCTTTTTTGAGACAGTCTCACTCTGTCACGCAGGCTGGATTGCAGTGGCAGGATCTGGGCTCACTGCAGCCTCCACCTCCTAGACTCAAGTGATCCTTCCACCTCAGCCTTCCCAGTAGTTAGGACTACATCACACCCAGCTAATTTTTGTGTTTGTTGTAGAGATGGGGTTTCACCATGTTGCCCAGGCTGGTCTCAAATTCCTGAGCTCAAGTGATCCACCCACCTCAGCCTCCCAAAGTGCTGGGATTACAGATGTGCGCCATGGCACCCAGGCAAATTTTAGCAAATTTCTACATATATTGTTTGGCATCCTATTACTTTTTCTCATGTATTCAATTATGTCATTACTATTTCCTAAAAATTGAGGGACATACAATATTCCTAGGATTATGTGATTGTGCTAGAGTCCTCACAGCTGGGAAATGTTCTTTTTTCTCATTCAGAGAATGAGAAAAATTCAGAGTTCAGCAGGCATTTATTGAGCTCTTTCCCTGCTGGACGCTGTGCCAGACACTCTGTCCTGAGGAGTTTCCCTGGGGCCTGAACACCCTGTGCCCCACTATGGGCCATAGAGGAGGCTTTCCACAGTGCTAACTGAGCTTCCAACCCCTTCCAGCTCCTTGTGTGGCCTGAACTGTATTCACACTGTAGACATTAGCTTCTCAGGTTCCAAATATCCTGGCTGCAGTTCCCTCCTCTATTCTGATCATGTAAATAAAGTGCTTGCTCATTCTTGTCAATGATGTTGACAAATGTACCCTTCTAAATAGTGGGATGATGGAAAATGCCGAGTAGATTATAGCCAAGGATATTTTTCCCAATTTAGAAAACATAGTTCCTTTCCCTCCATCTATCATTAATATCACCCATCAGTCTATTTATTGACTCTACATATAAATTCTGGATGTTGCACTGACATCGCAAGAGAAATCAGCACTTTGCCACAAAAGAGCTTATAAGAGGAATGCAGATTTCTTTAAGTCTCTTATGGATGAGCAGAGAGGCCTCATGGAGCTTCTGTAAAGCTGAATTATCAAGGCTGAAGTGATCAGAATCCATCCAGCTCTGCAAACAGCTTATAAGATGGATGGGTGCCTTGCTTCTCTGTATTCCTAGAGCCTCACCAGGGCCTGGCACAGGGAGGGTCCCTGGTCCTCAGTTTCCTTGCCTGCATTAATAGTAACTCACAGCGGTTGTGAGCACCAAATGAGGTAATGTCGGAGGATGCACTTTGTCAGTAAGTTAGGCATTCAGTCTTCACTGTCAACACAAATGCATTCTGTGACATGTTTGAGGAGTAAATGAGGTAATGTATTAAAATCACGAACACTTTATAAACGATAGAGCTACACAAATAGGACATTTTCTTATCATCCAGCTTTGTTCCTTCATTTAAAGTTATCATGATTTGGCCAGGCTCAGTGGCTCATACCTGTATAATTCCAGCACAGTGGGAGGCTAAGGTGGGAGGATCACTTGAGGCCAGTAGTTGGAGACCAGCCTGGAAAACATAGTGAGACTCCATCTCTGCAACAACAACAACAACAAGAAATTTTAATTAGCCAAGTGTGGTGGCACATACCTGCAGTCCCAGCTACTCGGGAAGCTGAGGCAGGAAGATCACTTGAGCCCAGGAGTTCAGAGTTGCAGTGAGCTATGATTGCACCACTGCACTCCAGCCTGGGTAACAGAGCAAGACCTTGTCTCTATAAATTAAAATAAATAAATAAAAGGCGGGGTGCAGTAGCTCATACCTGTAATCCCAGCACTTTGGGAGGCCGAGGTAAGTGGATCACTTGAGGCCAGGAGTTCAAGACCATCCTGGCCAACATGGTGAAAAATATAAAACTAAGCTGGGCATGGTAGTGCACACCTGTGGTCCCAGCTACTCGGGAGGCTGAGGCATGAGAATAGAATTGCTTGAACCCGGGAGGTGGAGGTTGCAGTGAGCCAAGATCATGCCGCTGCACTCCAGCCTGGGCAGCAGAGCAAGACCCTGTCTCAAAAAATAAGTAAATAATAAAGATACAGTGATTTAAAGATAACAGTATCAGAGCCAAAGAACAATACTAGATTCTAGGATGAGAGTCTTTACCCTAACTTATGGTTCACAGATTTAATATTTTGTCTGGGCAGCCGGTAGAGGAGCTTATGGTCTGGAATGGGAGAAGGAACGTGTGTGTGATCCATGTTACCTGTAGAAGACATTTAAATTAGCATTGATCATGATTGCTCACAGGCAAGTCAAGACCAGACTAACCAGGCTTGAGGACCCAGACATTTGGCTCTGGACTGGGATCTTCCAGCCTTGGTGAATGAAGTCTCTCCTTTGTCTTCTCTGGTGAGCACACCACTCCCAAGTTCACATTGTGTTGTTAATTTTTTTTTTTTTTTTTAAGAGACAGGGTCTTACTCTGTCACCCAGGCTGGAGTGCAATAGTGCGATCATAGCTCACTGTAGCCTCAATCTTCTGTGCTCAAGTGATCCTCCCACTTGCCCGAAGCCACACAACTAGTAAGTAGTGTAGCTGCAGTTCAGGTCAAATCTGTCTGTGTCCAGATCCTGCAAGTAGCCTCTCTACCCCACCACCAATGTACATCTACAGAAAGCATCTCAATGAAGCAGAAATCTTTGTAGAAATATTTTTCCATTCTCCTTAGATGTTAAAAAGGAACCTTATTGGCCAGGCAAAGTGGCTCACGCCTGTAATCCCAGCACTTTCGGAGGCTGAGGTGGGTGGATCACGAGGTCAGGAGTTCGAGACCAGCCTGGCCAACATAGTGAAACCCTGTCTCTACTAAAAATACAAAAAATTAGCCAGGTGTGGTGGCGGGCACCTGTAATACCAGCTACTCGGGAGGCTGAGGCAGGAGAATTGCTGGAACCCAGGAGGCGGAGGTTGCTGTGAGCTGAGATGTGCCATTGCACTCCACCCTGGGCCACAGTGAGAGACTCCATCTCAAAAAAAAAGGAACCTTATTTTATAATTTCACCAGCCTTTTAATCTAGGTTAAACTACAGTTAATGGTATTGAGTTTTATATTTTCTGGACCAAATAAGCTCATGTCAGTTGGAGAATACCATAGACAATTTTGTTGCATTGTATATTTTGGAGAGAATAGCAGAAATCATGAGTCTTCTAATGGTATTTCAGTATTTAACTGAATGTCAACAATCAATGGGTAGATTTCCATCTACTTTCTATTTGCGGGCCTTTCCTTTCTTCTGCTACCTCCAACATCCTGTTTTAGCTTTGAATATATTTCTTTATTTGTGAGACAGCAGTTTCTGGAGTAGATCTTTGAGCCCAGTGAGATGTTCTTGAGACAAATGGGGAAAGTGTGAAAGAAATATGCCTTGGGACAGTAACTCCTCTGAGCAGTGGAAAGTGAAAACTCTCATTTTTGGATGGATAATTATTTGCTTGAACTTTGAGATGTTCTTTAAATATCCAAAAGCTGCTGACAGCCCAGGCCACAGTGAGCTTTCTCTCCTGATGTACAGTGGCGTGGCAATTACTCATAAAGGCCTGTACCTCTCCGCCCAATGTAATAATCTGGTAAGAAACTTCTGTTCAGAGAACCACAATGATAATGCTTTAGGTTAATGCCACAGACTTAGTCAATTAGTAAATATTTACAGTGTCCACTATGCACTCAACACCCTAAATTTAAATTTGTGTAGAATTTAAACATGAGGACTGAATTACAAGTACATAGGTCAGAACCCCCAACAGAGATGAAAGAGATATGAATCATCACTTTTATGCAGAGAAGAGACTAGCAAATGTTCTAGTTATAGAGGGTGGTTACACAGTGTGAAGGTGAGAAATAGTATGATTTTTAGGGCCTGGAGGGGATGGGCCCCCAGTGAATATCTTTGTATGGTTCAGCAGGTTGTACAAAACTAGTTAGATGCCATCAAGGGCTTGCAGTGGGGCTCAAATGGTGAACGTCAGTGCTTGTCCAACATCGCCATGGGTCAGGTTACTTGTAGCCAAGTAAATGCTTCTCACACCTATGACCTCACTTCAGCCCCTCATATGAACAACAGTGCACAGCCCTATGCGCACAGCCAAGGCAGCACCTGTGTAGCGTCATTTTCCAGGCTGATGTCTGGAATTCCCCTTGTAAGTAAAGCACTGAAGCTTCATTCCATAATGACTCACTGCCACTGCTCCAAAACACACCCCTCTTGTCCATCTGCCCATTTCCTGACCGCCCAGCATTCTTGGGCCTTGGCTCAACTGTGAGCCCAGCCTGACGTCTGCATCCACCCCTCCTTCTCACCTTCTCTTCTATTCCATCTCTTCCAGTGGTTCCCAGCTTTGAGTCCACCTCCTTCTTCTTTCTGCCTCCTTTGTTTGAACTCCTCTAGTATTTATAGTTGGTACTTCAGAGTTTAGTACTTCATTATATACAGATTTGTTGTACTATTTTCCAATTGTTTTATGGATGCTGTGTATCATACTTCTTTCATAGCCCCCACAGAGGTTAGAGTGATGTCTTTCGTCCCTGTGGGGAGTGAGGTGGAATGTCAGGAGGGCGTAGTTTGCAAAACATCCCTCCCAGTGGTACTGATGCCTTTTCGCAGGTTCTGTCCTCTTCATTTGCAAGCCACTGCTTTATCCACGAGGGTGCTCCCTACTTATGCCAGTGAATTAATTTTTGGTAAGTGGGGTAATTTTCTTTCCTAATCTCAGAGTAATATTTCTGCCATTTTTTATGAAACCATCTTCCTTGATGGCCAGTTCCTTGCCTCCCAGGAAACTGATGAGGAGGCAAGACGAATGTATTGGGAAAGCCCAGCGGAGGAAGAGCTCCTGAGGAGTGAGTGGCGTAGCTATCTGCTTCATGTGGGGCGCTCCTGCTCTGCAGTGTAGAGTATTTTTTAGGTGGACTAGGAGCAAATGCCTGCCTGATACAGGCAACGTTTGCACAAAAACCCAAAGGAAGAAGGCTGCTGGTAGGCTAGGGGTGGCAGGTGGGATTGCCCTTGGGCTTTAAAGAAGGCTGAGAAAACTTACTTCCAGAGTGGGAGGCAGGAGGAGTGAGCCTTGGAACAATAGTGGAGTGTTTGTGGTGGACGGACGGGAGAGAGGAACACTTGAGGGCATGAACTTACTTCTGTCTCTTTACTTGAAAAAGCAATCCACTGAGCTAAGACCCTAAAATACATCAACCCAGAGGGCTTCCTTTCGAGTTTTTAGTTTTTAGATCATTCGGTATCCTCAATGCAAAGATGTGATAAAGTCAAGCTCAGGACTACTTGGGGACCAATTCTCATCCTCCTCATGTGTTACAATTCCTTAGCAGTTGCTTTAAAACTAACATTTTTCTAATCTTGAAATATTTAATAAAGCAGCTTTCTGCTAAAGAGCTGAAAGCATTTTACGAACCTTATCTTGAGGATATCCGTGCATATTTTATTATTTTAAGTCATTTTTTTTAGCCTACAGAATTTCATCAACTTCTTTCCTTCAGTTACACGTAAAGTAACCTCCCTTCCCCCATTTTATAGAAGAAAAAACAAATCTTCATAATGTTTAGATAATTCACCCAAGGTCACTTGGCAGAATCTGGAATCAAACGCAGGTCTCCTGGTTCCAAAACCTTCGCCCCTGTGTCATTCAGTTATATCACATGGACTCTTAAGTTAGGCCTCAAAATCCTCCAAAAGTGCAAGTGATCTGCCCAGAGCTGTACAGCACAGAATGTTCAGGGGGGTAAGGGTTGGAATAACTCCAGATGGCACTGGAGACAAGTAGTGTAGAGACACAAATGGGATCCTCTCCCTCCTCTGACATCCAGAATCCAGAATCTCTGGGTCTTTCCACTTGGGTTGTGACCTACAAGTTGGGGGCAAAGCTCTTTAGCTCTCATAATCAGCAGGACTGATGGCGGAAGCTGGGCAGGGCTCCCTGGAGGCCCAGTGTTGGGCTGGCATGTTCAGCACCAGATAGGTGCCTATCTCACAATATCCCTTTTTCATTTCAGGCACAGATGAATCCTTCATATTTATCTGGATTTAGCTGGTAGCATTTGTCTCCTAAGACTTGGTCACAGAGGAATCCATGTGACCTTCAGGCCTTCTGCTCTAAACTGGCAGGAGATCCTGTTTCTACTCACAGCGTCCGAGGTATTTATAAAACAGAAATAAGTAAAGCATGCCTCAAAATGCTGTGCACACTATGTACTGTTGCCCCCAGAACCTTCTCTTGGTCTTGGAGGGCAAGGATCACAGAGCTTTTTCTGCTGTCTCTCCCTGTGTAACAGGGTCTGGTGGCCGAGCCCTGAGGGGCGCTGTTGCTCCCAGGTGGCAGAATTCAGCATCAGAGAGCCACACAGCTGAAAGAGATGGATGGGTGAGTGACCTCAGCTTTGCCCAGCTGGGGTGAGTGGGCCGAGCAAGTCTCTCCTTTGGCAAAATCATCTGGGCTTGTTCTCATCCCTGCTGAATTGGCAGGGGAGGAGAGGGTCGTGGCCCATTGGTCATTGGTCGGGTTTCCTCACAAATGCCTGCCATGGTGAAATGCAAGACTGTTAGAGTGATAATGGGCTGCACGTGTTAATGCTGTCATCACGGGCCCCACAGTGTGTATTAGCCAAGTACTGGGGGCACTGGGAGCCTTGTCTGCTCCCAGTCGGCGTTGGGAAACCAGAACGCTCAGGAACGGTGAGTCCCAGTTATTTTTATTTTCTCATTAACTGAGAGTAGCTGTAAGTCCTTTTCTGTTGCAGGTCTGGGTGAAACTTTCTTCTTTGCCTGCCTTAGGGAGTTAGATGGGTTGAGTGGTTCTTCAGGCAACGGTTGTGCCAGGCACTGGGTCTTGCCCTCCCACCCCCATCTCCATTTCCTCCTTCTGGAAGCTTATTTCCAGACATAGAAGAGTGGGTGGCATCTCTATGGTGCCCAGGACAATCAATCTGGAGATGCCCTCTTCTTCAGTTGTATCCTTCTCTTAAAAATTCCAGTAAACTAGGCACTTGAGCTCATTGGGTTCTGGTAAACTGCAATTTTGCTTCTGATATTACAGAATTTAATTATGGTGTAGATTTTTAAAAATATGTTTAGGATAAATCTCACAATTCATATGCCTGTTCTCTTAGAAAATCTAGAACCTCCCTAGAGGAAACACCTGGCGTAAGATTTTTTTGTTTGTTCTCAGGTATGGATTCATGGTTTCTCAGTGAAAGAGAAAACAATTTTGCCTGTGATTTTACTAAGTGCTTTACCCATTCGTTCTCTCATAGCCAGTACTATTCTTTCAGCAGGGTTATTTGCTAGTGGAAGAGGCCAGCTTCCTTTCAGTATTTTAGTAAGGGCACGTAAAAGTGCCCGATTAAATGTTCCTGTTTAACTGGTGACTCAGTCTTCAGACATTTTTAGTTTGGTAACTTTCTTTGTGGAAGCTCATGGGTTAGTAGCCATTCCTGACATTTAAATGTGAGGTTCACGTTTTCCTGCATTGGGTAACTTGACTCCCCCTGAGAACTTGTAGACTATTTTCTGAAATTCCAGCAGATTGAGTGTGTGACCTTATGACTTTGTGGAAGAAATATGGCTAAATAAAACTGTTATCACATGAGTAGGTTTGCACAGAAAGACAATTTCAAGGACTTATCTTGAATACAACAAAGGGCAACCTTGCCGTAAATACATTTAATTATCTGTCAATCCCTCCAGTTCTCTTCTACTAAATTGTGTGTGACTTGATGATCCCTTCACCTTGTAGGACCTGGTTTGTAAGAGATGGACTGGATCAACCAAGGGCTTTATCCTTCCTTGTTATGGTAACCCACTCCCGCCCTTTCAGGGCAGTCCCTGGCTTGAGTTAGTTAATGTTCAAAAATCAGTGTTTCTCAGCATCTCTGGAAAACAGGATTGGCCCTATTGTTTCCAGGGCTTTCCCATCCCTTCTGGCTTGAGGTGGTGGTGGTGGTGAGAGGAGGTCTTTTTTTTTTTTCTTTTAAACAATAGAGACGGAGTTTCTCCATGTCACACAGGCTAGTCTTGAACTCCTGGGCTCAAGCAATCCACCCTCCTTGGCCTCCCAAATGGCCAGGATTATAGATGTAAGCCACTGTGCCCAGCCGAGAGGTGGTCTTTTAAAACCCAGAGTATTGGCCAGGTGCAGTAGCTCACGCCTGTAATTCCAGCACTTTGGGAGGCCGAGGCAGGTGGATCACCTGAGGTCAGGAGTTCGAGACCAGCCTGGCTAACATGGTGAAACCCCGTTTTTACTAAAAATGCAATAAATTAGTGGGGCATGGTGGCACCCACCTGTAATCCCAGCTACGCCAGAGGCTTGAACCCAGGAGGCAGAGGTTGCAGTGACCTGAGATTGTGCCATTGCACTGCAGCTTGGGCGACAAGAGCGAAACTCCATCTCAAAAACAAACAAACCCAGAGTATTTGAGCACCGTGATGACTCCATTCCACAGAACCCTCTGTGGGAGGACACGTGGTCCTAGACCAACACCGATTTGCTAAAAGGTGGGTCTGTGAGCTGCTGGCTAAGGTGCTCACTCACCTCATTAGACCTTACCGAGAGTGAGAACAGGGCCGGGTCGCCAGGGCTGTGCAGTTCCCGAAGCCTCCTGGCTATGTTCTGAGGCTCTCCCATCCCATGGCAGTGAAAGACTCAGAGGACACAAAGGCACAACTCAGACGGGGATGGCTAGGCCTTCTCCCCAAAATCATCTGGGCTTGTTTTCGTCCCTGCAGAATGGTTTTTTTCCCCCTATGATGGCTCTGACTAATTTAGTTAAATGGCAGATAAAGTGGGGAGAAGGTGGCCCATTTCCTCCTTACTTTCTCTCCAAGGGTGTCATGTTGCCCACATTTAAGGTTGACCACTTTTATCTGGTGTAGCAAGTTCAATAGTGACCCTCCAAAATTTATGTCCCATCTGAAACCAGTGAATGTGACCTTATTTGGAAATTGGGTCTTTGCAGATGTAATCAAGTTAAGATGGGGTTGTACTTTTATCTAAGCTGCCACCAAAGAGGCTGAAAAATCAGAATGACATGGGATGGAAACAGACCATGTTTTTGGGGTGGTGTGCTGTGGCCTTCTGCTGTCCTTCTCCTGACATCCTCACAGGGTACTTTGGGGGACAAAGTTTTATCTCAGGGCATTACAGTTTGCTGGGAGATCCAGGCTAGGCAAGAGGGGATTTTTACCTGCAGGGAAGAATGGGTAGTCTTTCCATGGGCAGGAGAAGCCCCTCAGCAGGAGAGGGGTGGTGTCAGGAGCAGGGGTTCCAGCTGTGCACTGCCAAGGATGCATTTTAGCACAGAAAACAAGAACAATGCATCTTGGAACTGTTTATGGGACATGATGATCACCACTTAGTATCCAGTGATTTATTAAGTCTAACATGGTTCCATTTTAGAAGATATGGTTCCATTTTAGAAGAATCAAGAAGAGTATGTCCTGGAATTAATTTTAAACTCATTGGAGGAGGCCCAAGCAGTTAATCAGCTAGTGAGTTCATTGCTAATGAGACTTGTGTGTCAGTTAGGAAGGAGTATGTTTTGTGGTCGTTTCTATCTGTCAACTTAGGTTGTTTACTGAGGCAAAATGGAGGAAAGTTTAATAGTGGAGATGGTAATAGCGAATATTTTGCGGTAGTACCCCAAAATATTAAAAATACGGTAGTATTGTATGCCGGCATTGTTTTAAAATGCTCTTTATGTATTAACATGTTCAGTTTACAGATGGTGTTCAGAGGGATTAAGGAACTTGCCCCAGGACAAACACTGTGGCTGGATTTGGCACTGGCTGTGTCACTGCAGGACTGGACCCTAAATGAAATTTACATCTTCAACCAGATGGAATTGGAACAGAGAAATCCTTTAGGGGTTTGGTTTGGTTTTCCTTGAGAGGTATTTGCCTTAGGACCCATAAGTATCAAAGCTTGTTGTGCTAGGTCCTTGAGGGTTGCAAGGAAGAGAGATCTCCCCCTCCCCCAGCTGTCTGTGTCCTCTGAGCTCTCTCACTTTGCTGATAGCTAAGAGGAAAGGAAAGGATGGTTCTGATAGCTGAATCACAGAGGCAAAGAAGCCAAGCCAATAAGTATTTATTCACAGAATGCAATTTGTATTATGTTAAGAAGTCATCTGTGGGTGTTCATGTCAGTTAGCTGTCATCTGAATTGATGGGAGCGTGTCTGAGTAACAAGGGTCCTTTCAGAAGGAAGTGGCAAACGGTCCCTTCAGCCACTAAGGACAGGAGCGTGGAACTCCTGAGTCATGAGAGGTAATTTGGGCATATTCTCTCACCATTCTAGAAGCTAGAAGTTTGAAAACAGGTTTTACAAGGTTGGCTCCTTCCTTAGGCTCTGAAGGCAAGACTGTTCCCTGCTTGTCTCCTCTTCTGATGGTTGCCAGCCATCCTTGGCATTGCTTGCTGTAGATACGTGGCTCCAGTCTCCACTTCCATCTTCACGTGGCCTCCTCCCCTCTGTATCTGTGTCTTTGTATCCAGATTTCACTTCTTCCAAGGACACCAGTCATGGGGTTAGGACTCCCTCCAACGAGTACGACCCCATCTTAACTTGATTACATTTGCAAAGACCCAATTCCAAATACCGTCACATTCACTGGTTTCAGATGGACATGAATTTTGTGGGGAGGGTCCCTATTCAACTTGCTACACCAGGTAATGGGTTTCCTTTGTTTGGGATCTCTCTGCTCTGTTTGTTCGTGCTTTCCGCACTGTAAGTTGTGTCCTGTCAGTGAATATTGGTGTTCCAAGGCTGAAAGCATCACGATCCCATGCAGGTGGAATGAATATGATGAAATTATTGGCACAGCTGAAAGAAAATATATAACTGTTTAATTTATTTGAAGAAAGAACAAAGGCCCTGAGGGTTGTTAGTTCTTAAGAATTTTACTGTGTAATCATCTATGAAGTAGGCTGGAAAATGGCCGTTTTCTGTTACAAAGTACAGCGATAGTTTTTTCCTGTGCTCTTTAGCCGAGGACCGCAATTCTGTCCCTAGAATCTCAGACATTTCTAGCTGAAAGAGACCTTTGGCATCATCTACTTCTAATCTAACCTTCTCATTTTACAGATGGGGCCTTTAGGGCCCAAAAAGATTAAGTGCCTTGATTCAAGGTCATCAGCCAGGAAAGGGCAGAGCAGACACTAGGACCCAGGTCTCAGAGCCCCCAGACTGGAGCTTTTCCCAGTGCAGTGGCAGTTTCTCACTCTATCTGTGCCTCCATCTGAAAATAATGCTTTTAGCCAGGGGAGAGCAGAAAGAGGCATGGGAGACACAGCTCAGGCCTTCACCTCTGGTGGAAATACCAGTCAAGCTTGTCTTAGAGACCAGGGGCAACACTGGGAGCTCCTTTGGTGACTAGATGTTGGGCATTTGGTAGCACCTTGGTTTCCTTTGTTAATGCGGACTATAAATGGAATTCTGACTACCATTTACAGCACCTAAATCCCATTCATAAAATGGCAGGGAAGGTGTGGGCTAGCCGACAGAGAAGGGATTGCCACAGGGACACAGGAAGCCCAGCCCATCATGAAGGTGGAGCTGGGTTTGGGGTGGGGGTAGGGAGACGCTTCCTTTCCATCTGCGACATACCCAGCCCTCCAGCTGTTCTCTGTGACTTCTTTTCCCTATCTAGGCTGCCTGATGTTCATTTTAACTGGATTTCACCTGTCTGGAAAGTGGGGAGGGCCACACAAAATAATACAATGGAATCAGAGTTTGCTGTATCTAGAACAAGTTCAGAATATTAATATATAGTGACAAGTCAGACTTGGGGAAAAAAGAATACCATAAAACAAAATGCAGCAAGATAAAGTGAATGTGAAAATTTTTCTTCTAAAATTACTTATCTCCTCATTTAATACCTATGTATATGCACGTACATGCACACACTCATACTTACACATGCTTCTACATTTTATACAGTCGTTCCTGTATATCCTTGGGGAAATAGTTCCAGTTCCCCTGCAGATACCAAACCCACAGATGATCAAGTCTGATATAAAATGACATAGTATTTGCATATAACCTATGCATATCCTCCTATATACATTAAATCATCTCTAGATTACTTATAATACCTATTACAAAGTAAATGATGTAAATAATTTAAATACTGTATTGCTTTTATTTAAATTTTTCTTTTTATACTATCTTTTCTCTTATTTTCTTTTTTTTTATTTTTTAAGACGGACTCTCACTCTGTTGCCCAGGCTGGAGTGTGGTAGTGTGGCAACCTCCACCTCTCAGGTTCAAGTGATTCTCCTGCCTCAGCCTGGGATTACAGGCACGTGCCACCATACCTGGCTAATTTTTTTGTATTTTTGGTAGAGATGGGGTCTCCCCATATTGGCCAGGCTCATCTTGAACTCCTGGTCTCAAGTGATCCGCCCGCCTCGGCCTGCAAAGTGCTAGGATTACAGGCGTGAGTCCCCTGCACCCGGCCTTATTGTCTTTTTTTTCAAAAATTTTCATCTGATTGGTTGAACCTGCAGTTAAGGAGGAACAACTGTACTTCATTCGCTAAGGCTGGGTTCTAGATCTAGCTGCTCCATGAGGACTTCCTTGCTTAATTTTTTTTTTTCTGGACTGATTTTTATCTAAGCTTCTAAAGTACAGATAGCCTTAACATAAATTTCTTTTCTCCCTGGTTAAAATGAGAATTTACTTAACTGCCAACCTTCACAGTGCTAGGTGCACAGGAGGTAGTCAGGTACTTAATTAAGCCTGCTGAAACTCCAGGGAGTACCCCCAGGGACATGCAGAACTGACCTGTACCTCAGGACTTCAGGTTGAAACCTTGGATCGAGGCTGTGTAGTTGGACCACAATAATTATAAATCTCTCATAGAATTGCCTTCCCTGAATTGAATTGAATTTTAAAACCTTGGCATTTTTTGAGGGTTGAGGAAATTAATTCTCTACTGCATTTGCTATTTAAAAAAAGTTGTGGGAGGACATTGTCTGTCACATCACTCAAGGTCCCCTTACATAAAGTCCCACATTTTTTTTAAATAATTCTGTGCCAGATAAGCCCTGTTTCCACAGAGTTTCTCTTATGCCACTGGGCGTAAGAGCACAATATATGTTAGCTCTCTTTCCATTTTGGAAACCATAGGTCTGACTGGGTTTCCCTTTTCCCCCTGACAGTCAGAAAGCTCAGATAAATTAATTAAAGCATAATCACATGCATTAAAGCTTTATCACATATATAATTGTTGTGTATGTTGACATACATATTTTCCTTTCCAGTGTTTTAAAATTTCTCCTTAGATTTTCTTAGTTGCTATTTTAAAGCTTTGTTCTAATAATAAAAATGTTTGTAGTCATTATGAATTTTGGGAAATAGAAAAAAAGAAGTCGCCAATACTCTTATAACGCAGTGATTTTAGCATTCATAAAGATTTGAATATATAATTTTCCTTCTATATCTTTAGAAATTGCCAAGTAAAACAGTCTAGAAGTCACAGTGGCTTCAACTGCTCATTCTCTCATGTAAAAGAAGTCCTGAGATAGGCAGTCTAGATCTGATATGGTGGCTCCATTAAGTTGTCAAGAATTCAGATTTCTGTCTCTCTGCCCTGCTGTCATCTTAATGGGGCTCCTAGAGAGACTTCAAGGTCACTTCATGGCCCAAGAGGGCTGTTAGAGTTGCAGCCATGTTTTCTGCATTCCAGGGATGCAAGAAGGGAAAAGGGCAGACAAAGGGTGAACTCCCTGCCCTCTAAGGAGCTTTCCCAAAAATTAGATCTACCCCTCCAGAGCTGACCAGAATTTAGTTACATGGACTCACCTAGCTAAGGGAAGCCAGAAAGCATTCACCAGTCTTATACATTTCCATATCTTTCCCTATGCATATAGATTCAGTAAGGGTGTTTTCTTGAAGCTGTCTCAAATAGTTTGTGGAAAGAGTTAAGGTATAAATAAACCTCAATGAAAATATCAATAAATAAAAGGCACTACATCTTGTTATCCTATCAGCATTGCCACTCTGCCTTTCCATCATTTTTTCTAGGGATTTTTTATTTATATATATATATATTGATTGTATATTTTTCAAATATTCAGTCAACACAGACCTTTTCAGGGCTAGAAGGGACCTTAGATGCTTTTCTCCAAAGGTTGCATATTCAGATGCTTACGGGGACCATTCAGGTACCATACATTATTAAAGCGGGCCAGGGATCAGTGTTGAGGTCACCACTAATAGGGAGTGGTGGGGACTGTGGCCACCTGGAGAGAGCTTGCTGGGTCTGAAGCGGGGCAGCCCTGCTCAGCTCTGTCCATTGTTGCCGTGTGAGAATGCTGGCCCTGTGTTGCCAAATCTTCTGATTTTGTTTCCAAGAGAAACCAGAAATCTAGATTTTTATCTGAAATCTCCTGGTGTTAATAATATGGCAATGAATAAATTAATTTTTTTTAAATGCCAGCTGAATGCAACACTGCCTGCCCCATGGGCTGCCAGTTTAGGATCTTTGATCTGGTCCATGCCCTGTTTTTCATTTGGCAGCCAAGCCTGTGGGGTCAGGTGGCCTGTGATGTGGCTGAAGACTTTGCTCTTCCGGCCCCACCTCACCACAGCCTGGTCCTCTATGACTAATTTGTCTCAGAATAGGGACAGATAATAATTGGAAGCTGGGCAAGACTGTTCTGAAGGTTAATTGATTCTTTCCTTCAATGGGCTTTGTTTTTCTTCTGAGGTCATTTTGGTGTGGTAGAATCAGAAAAAAGAAATTGGGCTTGAATCCCAGCTCTGCTGTTTACAGCTGTCTGACTTTGGGCAAGCCTCTGGTGTCTTGTGTGTGTCTCCTGCACCATCCATTTTCTTGCTTGCCTCTCTTTCTTTCTCACTTACCTGCCTTCAAGTAGCACAGCATGGTGATTAAGAGGAGGATCTCTTGGGCCAGATATGAAAGCTGGCTTTTCTACCCACCAGCTGTATGACACTGGGAAAGTAACTTAAACTTTCTATGTCTCAGTTACCTTGTCTATAAAATGGGGTAATAATAGCATCTACCTCATAGGGTACAGGAAGGATTAAATGAGCTACCATATGTCAAGTTTGAAGAGCAGAGCTTAGCACGTAGATAGTGCTGCATAAACATTGGGCTGTTTCCCCCATGTTCTCTCTTTTGCTTCTGCTGCTTTGGAAGCCATAGATCTTTTAGCAGCTTCTTGCACTAGGCTCAGCTCAGGTCCCCCATCTGACAGCAAGCACTTTTAGCTTCTGGCGCTTCTCAGCAGCCAGCCTCTGGCCATAGTCTGAACTCAGACCCTACAAGCAATGCAATCCCCTACCTTTTGCTTTTGGCCCTGTTCTGTTTCTGGTACTTTGTTTTTGAGCCCATCTGTGCCCTATTACTTTTCTCAGCTCATATTTTTTTCTGTCCCTGCTGTATGTTTGGAAGAGAACAAATAAGTCGACTGGCTGTGCTGTCTCGATCTCAAGCCTTGCTAAGTTATTTCATTGGTCACACAGAGATGTTACCTGTCCTGTTAGGCATTTCTGGAGATTATGTTGTGAGATAAAGGTTCAAAGCAGTGTGAATTGGCTTTAGCCAGAATTAGGAACACAGCAGAAAACTTGTCCTAGAAACCAGAGAGAGCCTGTCAGTCTTGGTGGATTCACAAAGCCTTCCCGCAGCAGGCTTGTTAAAAAGGCCAAACATTCAAGAGTGTGGCATACATGTTAATTAACAAAATTGTCTTTTCCCTAAAGACTTTAAATGCAGAGGAACTTGACTGTGCTTACGTTTCAATTAAACTGCTTCTTTTTCGTTCTTTAAAACATTACCATCCAATCTTTTTAGCTTTTAGGTTTGTTTGAATAAGAGATCTGACCTGACCGGCCCAACTGTACAACTCTTCAAGGAAAATTCGTATTTGCAGTGGGAAGAATAAGTAACATTGGTATGTATTGCTGAGACTCTTATTTTTGTTTCTCCTCCCCTTATGTTAGGAAGCAGTGAATAGAAGTGGGAAGGGAAGGACTGACTTGTTTAATTCAACAAGTCCACCCCAAACCAACAAGGAAACTGGTAGAAACTACTTGCTGCATTACCCTGTTCTGTTTCCAACAAAGGTGATGAGGAAGAACTTCTAGTTCAGTTCTGTATTACCAGCATATAGTCAGAGAATTTCTGGTGGATTTTAGTTTTGGTCCTCTAATAGAATGTGGAGACTTAAAAGCCTATATTAACAAGCTGCATCATCTTGGACATTTGTTTAGCCTTTGTTTGGCATCCGTGGCAGGGTTTGGACAAGGTGAGGAATGGCAGCCACAGGTTAAACCTATTGGGCATCTTAGTGCAGTGCTATGTACTTTTTTAGGCCACAGACCCTTTTTAGAGAATCTGATTAAAGCTGCGAACCCTCTGCCCAGAAAACTGCTCATGTGCACAAACTTTCACATGATTTCAGGGGGTTCTTAGACCGCAGGATCCCACAGGGAACCCACAGACCCCAAGTTAAGGATCCTTGTTTTAGGGGTTTATAGACAGCTTTCAGGGGATATGACCCCAGGAGTGAGGAGGAGTGTCACCAGAAGTTAAGTTTTTTTTGTTTTGTTTTTTGTTTTTGTTTTTTTGAGACGGCGTTTCGCTCTTGTCCCCAGGCTGGAGTGCAGTGGTGTGATCTTGGCTCACTGCAACCTATGCTTTCCGGGTTCAAGTGATCCTCCTGCCTCAGACTCCCAAGTAGCTGGGATTACAGGCATGTGCCACCACGCCCGGCAAATTTTTGTATTTTTGGTAGAGACAGGATTTCACCATGTTGGCCAGGGCTGGTCTCGAACTCCTGAGCTCAAGTGATCCACCCACTTTGGCCTCCCAAAGTGCATGATTACAGGCATGAGCCATGGTGCCCAGCCCAGAAGTTAAGTTTTAGGAAAACTGTCTCCTCACAGAAGTTCAGTGTAGCTGAGTTTATATTCATGGCCTAGCCTTGATTTGAAATTGTGTCAGTAAGTTTTTAAAAATCCTTGTCTTGCCCTGATGGTGGAAGACTAGTTACGGAGCTGTGATCTTTTACTTCCATTCATTACTGAATTAGGAATCCCTGCCAGAGATTTTCTGCCAAAGTGACCTCGAGTTTAGAAAAGGGTTTCTGAGTCCTCTCTGGACTTACTGTAGGTCTTAGGAAAGTTCAGTCGGTTATACCCCAAACACAGTTGGTGGAGATTGTTTTGTTCTGCCTGTCTCTAGCACTGGCTACCAGAGCTCTCATGATGACTGTTGTTAGCAGAGGCTACTTGAAACCATTCCAGGGGAAGCTGTTGCCATAGCTACCTTGGCTATGAGAGTTACCATTTTCTCTTTTTTGTTAGCTTGTGATTTCCCTGATTTTTAAGGTTAACAGCTGATGTTCTGTTTTTCTGCCGAGCAGCAAGGAAAATACTGGATTTTTGTTGCTGTTGCTTTTGTCATTGCTTATGTTTGGTTTTATATGTTTGGAGGTATGTGTGTGTGTGTGTGTGTGTGTGTGTGTGTGTGTGTGTGTGTGTGTGTGTGTGTGTGTGTTTTGTATATAAGGTAAAGTTACTTCAAAAGAGAAATATTGGGAGAGCTTGGGAAAGGCCAGATGAGCATATACATTTTCTGTATTCCAATTTTAGATTTTGACCTAGTGGTCAATTTGGTTTACTTTTAACCTAATTTTGGACTAATGGCTATAGTCAGGTAGCCTCCGCAGGGGGAAAAAACAAAACAAAACAAACTAGCCGAGCTCTATTTCATTCCTGAAACCCTTAGTAGCCAGGATCGCTGCGACCTGGGCTGAGTCTGACCCAGACTCCAGCACTGGGGAGCCTGTGGGGAGCAGATGGCTGAGTCAGGCTGAGGTTGCTTTATCTCAGCCTGCTCTGCAAATAAAGGGGTGAAGCCAGCAGGCAGTACAACCACACCTGGTGGCACCAGCAGTCCTTTCCGGGTTTCTGTTCAAGGCTGTAAACACAACATTTAACACACACCTGGGGCACCAGGTGCAGGTTAAGCCTACAGAGAGGAAAAAAAACAAAAGGATGACCTGTTAACAAAAATCAAAGTGCTACCCCTAGTCCTGCAGCCACCTCTTCGACTGATCTTATTTTTCCCCCTCCGATAAAGGACACTATTCTTAGCATTTTTCAATTTTCTGATTTGCTCATCTTAGAAATGCTTGTGAAATTATAAAAAGAAAACACAGTACCCAGTTTATCCATGCTCAGACTGTTTGTGATTTGGATTATGGCCAGTTGATTAGTAGCTGTAAGATGCTGGTGGTGTCTGCCTGTCAGGAGCCTGCGGAAACATCTGAATTGTGACACACCGTCACTGGCAGTATCTCTTAGCCCACCATGCGTCTGTAGGGTGGTGGGCACCACCCGTCCTCACTGTGCTTGTAAACTTAGACCTGTGCCTCTGCTCCCCAGATCAAGATGAATGCCATGCTGGAGACTCCCGAACTCCCAGCCGTGTTTGATGGAGTGAAGCTGGCTGCAGTGGCTGCTGTGCTGTACGTGATCGTCCGGTGTTTGAACCTGAAGAGCCCCACAGCCCCACCTGACCTCTACTTCCAGGACTCGGGGCTCTCACGCTTTCTGCTCAAGTCCTGTCCTCTTCTGACCAAAGAGTGAGTAGACCTCATGCCCTCTGTATGCTCAGCTGCTGATGTATTTGGCTTTGTGTGATGTTCAAAGAAGAAACTTCTCTCATCGTGTCCTTAAGGCATCAATGGGATATGACGTCACTGGTGTTAAAATAGCCACAGTCTGATTGCAGTCTAGTGTTTGAATCCTGGAGGGTAGGAGAGAATCAGATCTCTGTTGCCTGAAACATTCCTTCCTCTACAGTGTGATGTCATTATCCATGACAGGGACTTTGCAGAAAATAGTAGTCATTTTTAGGCAGATATGGAAAAGTTGGACAATATTCTAGTCCTTTAACGAATGCTTTGTTGCCAGTTCTAGGATGGAGAAACTATCCTCACCCAAAATAATTAATAAGCAAAAAAGCACAGATCCATTAGTTGAGTACTCTCCATCTGCCTTGTTGAAAAATGTACCAAGCATTAGCTAAGAGAATGCACTTAAAGAGAGTGCTTTGTATGAGTGAACCAGGTTTCCCTATAGAAGCCCAGATCTGTATTTTTTTTTAGATAGAGTCTTGCTCAGTCACTCAGGCTGGAGTACAGTGGCATGATCTCGACTCACTGCAACCTCCACCTCCCGGGTTCAAGCGATTCTGGTGTCTCAGCCTCTGGAGTAGCTGGAATTACAGGTGTGCTCCACCATGCCCGGCTAATTTTTGTATTTTTAGTAGAGACGGGGTTTCGCCATGTTGGCCAGGCTGGTCTTGAACTCCTGACCTCAAGTGATCTGCCCGCCTTGGCCTCCCAAAGTGCTGGGATTACAGGCATGAGCCACTGCACCTTCCTCCAGATCTGTATTTTGGAGGCAGCAGGGGCGGGCTCTGCTTCTGACAGAGGAAACTGTAGTTGTAAAATGAAGGGAATCTGCACTCTGTGTCACACATACTGTTTTCAAGAGATGCAGTGTTCACTTTTTCTCTATAGATGTCTTCTGAATGACTGTGTCTTCCTCCAGGGCTCAGGCCAAGCCTCGTGCACAGTGGGTCTGAATTCCCCACTCCTTTTGTCATGCTGCTTCACTCGCTTTGTGCTTTTTCAAGCTTACTCCATTCTGCCTGTGCCTTCTCAGGCTGCAGCTACTCAGAGAGATGTCTTCCTCAAGTGTGTCCGTTCAGCACATGACTAATGCAGTTGCTAAGACCCAGTGGTGGTAGAAGCTCTTCCCTGCATCCTGATAGCACCTCTCATCACCTCTTTTGGCTGTTGGGGACACTGGGTGAATGATTCTCTTCTAAGAGCAGACAAATAGGCAATGAACATCTGAGAGTCTGGGCCCCTGCTTTGTGTAGTTGTCTAGTTAATTTTCACATGTACTATTATGTGCTTTAGGTGTTTTGGGTGTACATGGGCGGTATTCTTATGCAGTTTTCTCATAGTTGTGACAGTGATGTCATGACCCCAAGTCAAGAGAGAGATTGCGTAATAGTGGTGGACACTATAAATGTCATCATACTGAATTTGGAACTGCCCCTGCTGAGGGGACTTTTTATTACAGTAGCCTCCACAGCCAGGCACAAGAGCAAGGACATGGTGTTCTTATATGCAGTGTTTGCAGTTAAAAATCAGCTCTGTAAAGGGTGTGCACGGTATATGTTTTGAAAATCATCCAGTATTTGTCATAGTCATATTTTGAATGTTTCTTTTTTTCTTTCTTTTTTTTTTGAGACAGAGTCTCACTCTGTCACCCGGGCTGGAGTGCAGTAGCATGATCTCAGCTCACTGTAACCTCTGCTTCCCAGGTTCAAGCGATTCTCCTACCTTAGCCTCCCCAGTAGCTGGGACTACGTGCCACCACGCCCAGCTAATTTTTGTATTTTTTGGTAGAGACGGGGTTTCACCATGTTGGCCAGGCTGGTCTTGAACTCCTGACCTCAGGTAATCTGCCAGCCTCAAAAGTGCTGGGATTACAAGCATGAGCCACGGCGCTCGGCCTGAATTTTTTTTAATACTTAATTTAGATCAATAACTTCGACTGTTACTGAAATTTGCACTCACTTTCAGCTTACAGTTTGGGTAGGACTGCTAGACCCAGTTCTTTTGTCATCTCATTCTTAGAGAGCTCTTGAAAACCAAAGTATTTAAAACCCTGCAAGTTTCTGTGCAGATGAGTGCAAATTTCCACCCAGCATTGGTTCCTGAGTAATTAGAGGAAGGAAGCCATGCAAAAGCTGCTATTGCCCAGGCTCCAGAAAAACATCATGTAAGGTTTGATTCCATACTAATTGTTCAAAGTGTAAAAGAAAGCTGACTGTGGCAGTTTTTACCTCCTTTTCTTTTTTTTCCTTTTAAAAATAATCCAGAGACATTAAGCCCAACAGTTTCTCTTTGCTTTTTTCCCTCTCTAGCACATTTTCTTGATGAGTCTAAGGTGTGACCTCTACTGAAATGGCTCCCACCCACCTCCTCCTATGGAAGTGGATCCCCAGCCCCATCTCCTTGGACCTCGTGGCTGTGTTTAGAAAATTAGCATCAGCCTAAGCCAGGGGCATCAGCATGGAGCCCCCTGGTCATTGGCTGATTGCCACCCTCTCTCCTGGTGAAGCCCGAACTAGGGAGTGGTGGAGGTCAGCCTAAGTTAAAGGCAAACCTGATGATTGTTTATGACTTAGCTATGGTTTGAAGGTGTATGTGAAGGGACAAATTCTCCAGAACCAATTTCCTTCCAAAGCCTCTCCCTTTGATGATAGGACCAGCCCTCTTAGAGCATGTTGGAGCATTACTTAAGCAGCTAAATTCTAAACACCCGAGCAATCTGACTTGAACATGACAAATGACTAAAGGGCAAAAGGATTCACTTTATTGCCCCCCCATCCTTCAACTCACCTCTTATTTCTGATTTAGATTCTAATTTTAGGAATCACTGTATCCTGTGTTCATGTCTCATATCACCAAAATGTTTTCACATTACCACTCTCTTTTGTCCGCGTTACTACTGCATTTGAAATTTGTTGAGTACCTTTCATAGACGTTATGCCATTCAGTCTTACCAACCTTAAGGTTGGATTCATTTTTCCTTTCATTTTAGGGATGAGGAAACTGGGAGTAGCAGAGAGGGAAACTGAACTCAAACTGGAGTGTGACACCAGGTTGGCTGCCTTCCTATCTCTGGGGAAGTGAACAGGGACTTTTCTTGGGTACAAGTGAGAGAACTGAGGCAGAGGCCAGCCCCTGATGATGACAGCCCCTGGGTGACCTTTGATTCCCATCTGACCCTCTTTCTGTTTCTGTCACTCCACTGGAAGCTACTGTCCCCCATAGTCTTTTTCTGTGTCACATGACTATAACAACCTCCCATGTGTTGAAAGCTAAGGGCAGGAAACACGTCTGTTATGAGGGAAAGTGCTTCTCCTGGGACTTTGAAGATTTTTTTCCTACAAGGAAGCCTGTCTGCAGCCTTCACAAGCACTCGCCTAGGCTGGAAAGTTCTGTTAACTGATTTACAACAAGCTGTGAATATTAGTCAGTAATCCTGACCGCGGGTAGCTGGTTATGATGACATGCGCGGAATCAGGACGTGTCTTCTTACTGTTCTGGTATAGAAAAAAAGTTGATGAAAGGTGAACATCGAAAGCATGCTCGAGGAGCAGGGATTACTGTTTTCCCCCTCAGCATTAAAGTCAATTTGAAAATCTGTTCTAAGATGATTTACCCAAAGATACATTATAAATTAATCTTTTAATGTCTGGAGGAAAACTTTGCTTCAGTGGGATGTTATGTCTCCTGTTCTCTTAGAAACAGATCAATATTTACCTAGTGATTCATTTTTTGTTCTCATGAAGTGTTTACTTTTAGTGAAACAAGCAGACGCCCAGTTCGGAATTATGACAAAAATCTAGATAGTCATACAAATCTTTTTTTTTCAATAAAAACTTTGATGCATATTCATTTTTTTAAATGGAAAAGGTAGAGCACACAAAAATTATCTATAAATGTTATAGCTCTTTCTTTTTTCTTTTTTGAGACAGAGTCTCACTCTGTTGCCTAGGCTGGAGTACAGTGGCGCAATCTCAAATCTCGGTTCACTGCAACTTCTGCCTCACGGGTTCAAGTGATTCTCCTACCTCAGCCTCCTGAGTAGCTGGGATTACAGGCGCATGCCACCACACCCAGCTAATTTTTGTATTTTTAATAGAGATGGGGTTTCACCCTGTTGGTCAGGCTGGTCTTGAACTGTTGACCTCGTGATCCGCCCGCCTCGGCCTTCCAAAGTGCTGCGATTACAGGCGTGAGCCACCACACTGGCCCTATAGCTCTTTTGGAATTTGTCTAACAGGTTTTTCAGTTTTTAGCAGAAAACCTCCCACGTGAAAAAAAAAATTATAATTCTACCCAGAGATAATGCACTATTAATATGTGGGCAATCATCCCTGTGGTTTTCCTTCTCCTTATACTTGCCCCCACAAAATCACGGTGATAGATATTGTTTAGTAACCTGCTTTCACCAAACCATGATGAACGTTGCCATGAACATTCACCCATGCTGCTACCTGTCTACTCACGTTTGACTTTTTTATAGCTTCAGAATTCTGTCATTCATTCAAATTTCCTGATGGCTGCTGGCAACAGTTGGGCAGAGAAAGAGCTTTGAATTGAAATTTGAACTAGGATGCAAACCTAGGTCTTCTACCTCTAAACTGGCCACAGAACCCTGGATAAAATGATAGCCCCTCTGGTCCTTGGTTTCCTTCTATGTAAAATGAAATAGGTGTGTCTCCCATGGTGCCCTTCAGCACGGACATCTTCTGATTCTGGTACCCTTGCTTTGTTAGCAAACATCAGAGTGGTCTTTTTAGGGGAAGGACCCTGGGAGAGGGTCCCTGACTGCAGGGTAAAGAGACTGGTTTTCTTGTGTGCTTGTCTTCTTCTAACTATTCCCAGCCCCCGTACTCCTGGACAGGCTGGCACTGTCTCCCTTTGGCTTTTTTTTTTTTAAGTACTTTTTAAAGCTATCATTTACATACAGTAAAATATACAAATCTTAAGTATATAGCTCAGGGGCTTTGTGTATGTATTCAGCTGTGTAACTACCAGTCCCTTGGGTGTTTACAAAAGTGTACTATGACCTCCCTGCCTCTGACCTACCCATCTGTCATAATACTACTCGAGTTGGCTTCCTCAAGCAGGCCAGCAGCCGAGGCATGAACCTACCTGTCCAGCCTCATTACTCACAGCATTCTCTCATTGCCTGTGAAGTACCTGACCTTTGGGCTGTTGTTTCCCCACTATCCCAGATCCCCTCTTTTTTCTCAGCACCAAAATGCCTCTTATCCTATAAGAAAACTTAAATAGCATCAATTCTGCTTTTAAGAGACAGAGTCTCACTCTGTTGCCCAGGCTGGAGTGCAGTAGTGCAATCGTAACTCACCGTAACCTCAAACTCCTGAGCTCAAGCTATCCTCCTGCCTGTCTCCCAAGTAGCTGGGACTACAGGTGGGCACCACAACACCCAGCTAATTTTTAAAATTTTTTTTATAGAGACAGAGCCCCATTATGTTGCCCAGTCTGGTCTCAAACTCCTGGCCTTAAGCCATCCTTCCACCTTGGCCTCCCAAAGCGCTGGGATTTCAGGTGGGAGCCCCTGTGCCCTGCCTTAAATAGCATCAGTTCTGAGATACTATTCTCTAACTTGCCGCCCTACTCCTCTTTAGCCAGAATGAGCCCTTCTTCCATCTTCCTACCATGTTTCCCCAACATATAACTTCTGTGTCCGTTTAAAATGTTCCATCTTGTTTTATGAGAATTTGTGTCTCTTTTCTTTATCACTGGAATATACACCCCAAATCAAGAGCCGCATACCTGGGGAGACAGAACAGGATTCCTGGTGGTTCCAAATCTCAAGTACAATGCCATTCTGTATCTTGTTTTCCATAAACAGGTGTAAGTGAACGATGTTCTCATTTTGGCAGACGCCATGTGTGCCTGCCCAGGAGAAACAAACTGCACTGTATCCGGCTTGTTCAATGGTGCTCTAGGGAATCAGGTGTACCTTCAGCTCTGACAGAGCTTTGTTGATCTGGGAAGGCTCTACCCTGTTTCTGGAAGAAGATGGATTGCTTATGGTCTTAAATTAAGGCAGGACAACCCCAGGCATATGCATAATGGCAGTTCACAGCCTCCACCCTTCCCTCTGGGCCTGGCTGAAGTTTTCATCACCAGGTCCCGGTTGGGAAGTAGAGACAGGCAGCAGGTGCCCTGTCTCTGGAAGCCTGCTATTAAAATGTACATACTGCCCTGTGGGAAGCCAGGCTGCTGCTTTTTCACTCGTTAGCAAGCTTGCCAGTATGGGCTGTCTTATAGCTAAAGATGAAGGCATTTAGGAGGAGTGTGATGGAGGACTTGGCTAATAGGCCGAAAAACAGAGAGTTGAGTTGTCTTCACTGGATCCAAGAGACATCTAGAAGCCCCTGCAGAGTCCAGAGAAGGGAGGCAGTATGATGAAAACCACAGCCACATGTATGTGGGTACTTTCTTCCCCAGAGATGCAAAGGTAATCGCTTTCTTCTGCAACCAGCTGCCACCTGTATTAAAAAGAACTGGACATTATTGTTCTCTGTGGATTTGAGAGACACCTGAAACTTAGGGGTGAGGGGCATACCCACTAACACCAAGCCAAAAATTACAGTTGGCTCTCCTATGCCATGGTGCCCTCTCTGGACGTGTCCGCCTGGAAGCTGCTTCAGGTAGTCATAAGAGAATGGGAGGAGCCCTGTGGCCCTTCCATAGACCATAATGGATTCATCTCCGGTGGTTTTCCCTTTTTCTCTTCACTCACCGGAGTACAAGCTCCAAACGGAAATCCAATTGGAATGCTGTTCTCATCATAATGTGTCCAAACCTTTAGTTTCCTGCCAATTAGTCATCCATCAGCCTTGGTTAGTGAGCATTTGAGGATCTACTTCTCTGAGACTCATCGTGGGGAGGCATTTGTAAAAGATCAGTTTTTCAAGCTTTTTAATTACGGAAGTTTTCTAGAGGCACTTTTTAAAAATCAGTTTCCTCACAAATGTGCTTCCTAGTTATTTCTCTTTTTTTTTCTCCTTTCTTTCTTTCTTTCTTTTTTTTTTTTTTTTTTTTTTGAGACAATGTCTCACTCTATTACCCAGGTTGGAGTACAATGGCACAATCATGGCTCATTGTAGCCTCAACCTGCTGGGCTCAAGAGATCCTCCCATCTCAGCCTCACAAGTGTCTGGAACCAAAGGTCCACACCACCATGGCTGGCTAATTTTTAAAAATATATTTGTAAAGACAGGGTCTCACCTGTGTCACCATGTTGTACAAGCTGGTCTTAAACCCCTGGGCTAGCGATCCTCCAGCCTCAGCCTCCCAAAGTGCTGGGGTTATAGGTGTGAGCCACCACACCCAGCCCCTAATTATTTCTAATAAAGCAGAGCAAATCTACTTTTGATTTTTCTCTCAAACAGTACCAACTCCCTCTCTATTGCTGTTGTACATACTTCTTAACAGTAAATATCCATTTTTCTTTTATCTGCCCCAAATAAGAGCTCAGTTCTGTGTGTACGAACACTATATTTGTCATAGATATGCAAAATATGCTATTTTTGTCCTAGTGTACCAAGGAAGTATTAAATAATTAGAAATACACTACAGAAAAGCACTCATTCAAATCTCTCTGATAGTGCAATATATGGAGTTATTTTCTGGATCTAAAGAGCACGGGACTCCATATATGAAACGGCCACTTCTTCCATTTTCTTTTCTGCCTACTTGTTATAAAGCTGTTTCTTTGCAGAGGCAGTACCAATGCAGAGGCTGGGGTTAGGAGCTTTGAGATGGACAGTTGTTGTTTTCTCAATCTTAAAGCATCAGGCAAATGCAACTTCACACACTCTCTTCCAGTCAGATTGCCACCCTAGGCCCCTCCTAGGTAAAAAAAATTCTGGAACCAGCACAGCTTATTTATTTATAGCAAGTTAAAGCTGAAAAGAATTTCATTATCTTTGACTTAAATTTCTCTTAATTCCCTCTTGCTCACAGACATTCCACATCAGATTTAGATCCTTTCCTTCTTGGCTGAACACTAAAGCTTTGTCCTTTTCACAGGATAAATTCCTAATTGCCAAGAGCCTTAATTCCATCGACCTGATTTTATCTGTTTTAAGAGTTGTGCAGACTGGGCATGGGGGCTCATGCCTGTAATGCCAGCACTTTGGGAGGCTGAGGTGGGTGGATCACGAGGTCAAGAGATCAAGACCATCCTGGCTAACATGGTGAAACCCCGTTTCTACTAAAAATACAAAAATTAGGGCTGGGCGCGGTGGCTAACACCTGTAATCCCAGCACTTTGGGAGGCCAAGGCAGGCGGATCACCTGAGGTCAGGAGTTCGAGACCAGCCTGGCCAACATGGTGAAACCCCGTCTCTACTAAAAATACAAAAATTGGCCGGGCATGGTGGCAGGTGCCTGTAATCCCAGCTAATCGGGAGGCTGAGGCAGGAGAATTGCTTGAACCCAGGAGGTGGAGGTTGCAGTGAGCTGAGATCGTGCCATTGCACTCCAGCCTTGGGGACAAGAGTGAGACTTTGTCTCAAAAAAAAAAAAACCAGTTAGTTGGGCATGGTGGCACATGCCTGTAGTCCCAGCTACTGAGGAGGCTGAGGCAGAAGAATCACTTGAACCTGTGAGGCAGAGGTTGCAGTGAGCCGACATTGCGCCACTGCACTCCAGCCTGGCGACAGAGGGAGACTCCATGTCAAAAAAAAAAAAAGAGTTGTGCAAATATTTCTTTGGATATTTCTGGTAAACTATTAACAAGTGATTGGCAGAACTGTAGTGTTCTGATGTGCTTATTTTGTAGCCACCAGACCTTCAGAGCATATTCACCTGCAAACTTATATTGTTAGAAAATTCCTGAAAAATGGAAGACTCAAAATCATCTTGATTGAGGCTAAATATTAAGGGCTAGCCTCAATAAGTCAAACTTTTAGGCAATTTCATCTTAAAATTGCTCATGTTTCTGGTGAAATAGCCCAAACCAAAACTGTCAAAGTAAGAAAGTTAAACTGCTGACTCTGGGACACTCTTTTATTACTTGGCTGACCAAACATTCCAGTTTGCTCAGGACTGGGGCATGGGACTGTCAGTACTAATACCGGGGAATTCCAGGGCAAACAGGGATAAGTTGTTCACCCTCTCAACTACTCACTATCTTGGATGTTGCCTGCCTGCCCTGTCTCTGCTGTAGCAGGTCATTTATGCAAGGGGCCAGCCACATCAGGAAGAAAAGTGCCGCCATCTTTGAGGTCTCCTATATTGAATCAAGATCACCAAGTCTGAGTCTGCTGCAGAATTCATCCACCTTCTCTAACCTAGATACAGATTGTAGCTTCTTCTTAGAGACTTTATGCCTTCTTATAGGAATTGCCGAAGCCTGAAAGATCTAAAAAAAGGTTCGGAATCCAAAATAGTCAAGACTCCCGTGATTTAGTTCAGATGGAAAAAGGCTCATCCTTTATGTGCCGAGCATTCTTTAAAACAACCAATTCTGGTTTCCAAAAATGTATGACCCTTATACCGCCCTATTCATCATACCTGAGTTTACTCTTCAGGGCCCTACTATGTCTCCAAAAAAGGAGTATATGTCTTCCAAAAGGAAGTATATGCTACAACTGATTCCATCACGTGGTATCAAATTCAGTACATGTGGACGGTAAGTGGGCCTTGGCTCCACGTGTAAGGTCCTGTTTTGAGTCACCCCTCTGTGTCACCCCTTCCCAGACTCGATTTCAGAATCCACCTTGGTTCACCATTCATCCTTAACTTTTAGCTTACACCTCATTTGCTTTACAGGACTTACATGGAATCAGATCTACTTTTATACTCCTTCTCAATGTGTGGTTGACTGAAAATTGCTCCACTATCCGGGAGCAGGAAATGGACCTTGTTTTCTAGAAAGTCTCGAATTTCTAAGGATAGCCAACTTTTATCAGCCTCTCATGTTTTACTGACCCTGTGAATTCAGAGGTTGCCAATTTTGATCTCCACTGTTCTTTTTCTCTGCCTGCTTCTCAGCATGCCCTCCTTCACTATGATAGTACACTTTGTACTACAAAATAGTATATACTTTATGGTAAAATAAAATTAAGACAGTAAACTGACTTGGAAAATATATTCTGGAGGGTAAGTAAGAATTTTTCCTAAACTCTCAGTGCCAGTGTCATGCAGTGATGTGGAGAGTGAAGAGCTGACGGCTGTTTACGCTTTTCTTTGTCTGAAGCAACAGTGAGTGAAGTGACTGGCTTTAGAAGCCCAGTCTTCTTCAGCAGCATCAAGAATACTTCCCTGCAAATGGAGTCTGTTTGGGATCCTGAGCTTTAGGGTCAGAATTTATTAGATGGTGTAATGTTTACTTAAGGAAAGCATTTTCCTGAGTTTATAAGGAAATCTACCCCTCCATGAAATTCTAGAAAGCTATAACTAATACAGAAGGCTGTAGTCCTTGAAGACTTGATTTTATGCATGATTGGATGAGATGCCATTGCTGTTTGCTACCCCATGACTGTCAGTAGTCAGACTGAGAAGTGCCCTCTACCAAGTACCAAGGGCCGGGTACTCCTCAGAGGCCCTCCATCTGCCTGAGGTAGCTGCCTGCAGTGTAGTATCACGGTGAGCCATGGAAATGAGTCAGCCATTGTGGCAGCTTGTGAACCACCCTAACTCTACCTGCTGTCAGTTTCTAATCATAGAGTGAGGGCTCTGGGTCAGCGTGGGTGCATGGCATCAAACCAGATGGCTTAACTTCTGAGGTAGCCATTATAAGAGTCTGTAATCCAAAACATTTGGGAACCCTGCCTGGAGATCAGTGGTTGATCCAGAACCATCTGTAGCCTCCCAGGAAGGGAGAGATTTGTGAGAAACAGCAGGTTATATGTTTTTCTACCCTTCCACTGAGTACTAATGCCATTGCCATGACCAACCTGACTTTCCTGTGATATGTAGCACCAAATCCTCCTGCTGGCAAGACCCTGAACTGGTGTTTTCAGCCAGATCACAAAAGCTTGAACAGTAATTTCTTACTGATGTAAAGTGAGAAACTCCATAAATGCTTTTTAAAATGTTGACACCTGCCAAGCCACAGCAGTATGGACTTTTCCTTCCTTGGGATTTGAATAAAGGAAGATTCTTCTCAGTGAATATATATATATACATATATATATATACACATATATATATATATATATGTATATTTTAAAAATTAGTCAATTAGTAATATTTAGTAACCTGCTCTTCCAGTCTGTTCACCGTCTGTACACCATACTCAGCCCCTTCTATATCACACACAATACTTTTTCTCACATTTCCACCTTCTCTGTCTGTCAGAATCCTCAGGCCTTCTCAAATCGTAGCTCTTCTAGTAGCTCCTGACTTTTACCTGTCTCTGTCTCATTGGCTCTTACCTAAGGACAGGGATGGAAACAATAACTTTCCACATATGTATCTCTCGTCACACCTCAAGTGTATTCTGAGAGGCTTAAGGACAGAGACTGTCTTAAAAATTCTCTGTCTTCCCTGTGGTTGCTGCTTCTTGTAGAGTCAGTACACACTAACTTCAGTAGAGTCTTTTGGTAGGAACATGTGATTGACAGAGTGAGTAATTCAGGTAAGTGATAAAGGAATTTAGAGAAAGAGGGGATATTCCTGTGGTGGCTTGACTGATGAGGTCTTCCATAATCCTGAAAGATTAGTTGGCTTTGGATAGATGGGACAATAGGAGAGAAGGCACAGATGTTGGTGTGAGCATGAACCAGTAAAATCAATTATTTAAACAAGCACTCATGGCAGAAAACTGGCTTTGCTGCCCAGGCCAACACTTTTCACCCATCCACCTTTGTCCTTTTGTCCTGTGGGCCTTCCAACCAGTCAGCAGGATAAGAAGGTGGTAGAGGCCTTGCTGCCATTGACACATATCCACGTTGTCAATGCTTTGCCGTCACCACAGCTACTCTATTCTTGTCTCCTAATTCCATGGATCTTCATTTGGCTAGACTTTGATTGTCTCTCTTGTAACTCCCAAAAATGATCTTGGTGCTGCTTGCATCATGTTTGGCCCTGCTACCCAGTCTGCCCTTTGCTCACTGTGCCCTTTGATTTTGTTTGCTAATGGGTTTTGGGCCCCATCACTGGTCTGGTCTCTATAGTTGCTTCGTGGCCAGCTCCTCACCAGGTCCCTATGCCACGATCTGGTGAGCTGAGAGCTGTTTGATTGTAGCAGAGAGCCCTATGGTCTGTGGGGGGGAGGAAGAGGAGATCAGATCACGAGGAGTCTCTAATTCCCAGAGAGGAAGAGTTTGGGCTTGATCCTGTGAGCACTGGTGGTAGGTGGTTGGAAAGGGAAGGATGGGACAAATTCCAGAGGTCTTCTAAGGTGGAATCAGTGGTATTGGTGGGTAATGGAATGGCCTTGGGCATCAGAGGAAAGGGCTGAATCACAGATTATGCTGAGGTTACTGAGCGGTTGAGAGAATAGAATCATTGACAGAAATAGGGAAGTCTAATGGGGAAGCTGCTTTCTCAAGGAAAGTTGTTTAGCTTGGGGCTTGTCCACAGGATGTGCACAGGGTTATGTGCAATTATGGCATTAGAACTTAGGTGGGAGCTCAAGACCAGATGTGTAGATTCCAGATCAGCTGCAGGTAGGGGAGGTTGTGGGGGTGGGCAGAGAGAGACACTAAAGACTGATGGCTGAGGCAGGCCATGGCTAGGGTGGAAGAGACAGAGACAGGCAGTAAGAAAGGTAGGGAGAGAACCAGCAGCCTCCAGTTCCATGGCAGCCAGAGAAGGAAAACATTGAAGAGGGTGTCAGAAACTCAGGAAGAATGAGGGCTGACCAAAGGCCATCTACCTTGGCCAGAAAGGATCAGGGATTTTTGAGAATGTGTTTTCAGGAGTGAGGTGAATAAACAGGTCAGCACAATAGCAACCAAAGAAGTGAGTCAGGAAACAAACACCAGAGAAGGAAGGAGAAAAAATGGAAACTGGAGGAGAAAGCCAAATTGATTGAAGGTTTTTCCCCTAAGATTGAGAGGGTAAATCCAGGGGCCCAAGTGAGAGGGTGAAGTTAGCGAGCTGTTGCCCCCCGGGAATCCAGAGTCCAGATCAGCAGTGAGACCCACCTGGGCTCAGATGCCAGCCCTGCCCCCTGCTGGCCAGTGGCTTCACCTTGCCGAGCTTCTATTTCCTCATTTGTAAGATGGGTATAATAGCACTTATTTCATAGGTTCAGTATGCTGATTAAAAAAAAAAAAAGAACAGCATGTAAGATGATTTATAGGATACTTGGCATGTGTAAGAGTTCAGTAAATATAGCTGCTATTATTGTAGCTATTTTTATTTTAATATTATCAGCTAGATCAGTTGTACAAATAGCAAAAGACATAATGTACACGAAGGTCACACAAGCACACCTGAATGTCAGTAGGACATCAGTGGGTAAGTGGGTAAAAGATGTGCCTAGATAAATTCCACATAAGGAAATACATGTAATAAGCACCTCATAATGTTAAGACTTGGTAACAATGAAGCCTTAAAACATGAAATATTATTTGATATTCAGAGGAAAATATGGCAATATTGTCAAAATTATATTAAGTTGGACATCGTATTAGTCGAAGTAAACTAGTTTATACTGTGGTAACTAATTACCTCTAAACCTGCACATCTTAAAGCCACAAATGTTTATTTCTCACTCATGCTACGTGTTTATTTCAATGGGCAGGAGGGCTCTGCTGATTGTCATCCCACCAGGACCCCAGCTGATGGAGGTGACATCTCAACACCTGCTTCCGTGGTCATCACCGAGCCAGGAAGAGCAATGTCACACCTCACACACTGGCTCTTACAGGCTGCTACCGGAAATGGCACTTGGTCATTTCCTTTCCCATTTCATTGGTTTGGGTGTCCAAGGGAGATAATACAGTCATGGGTTCTCAGTTTCTGTTTCTGGTTGGTCCGGTAAAGCCCCTTCCTCATCCCTGTTTTTTGCTTATCACTAGAGACAGAAACTACAAACCATGGCTTTAGGCTGCTAAAAGCCTACAAAAGAAACAGAACAATAACAACAAAATAAGGCAGGTTGGACAAGCTTGAGAGCTTGTCCAGCCCATAGCCCACAGACTGCATGTGGCCTGGGACAGCTTTGATTGCAGCCCAACACAAATTCATAAACTTTCTTAAAATATTATGAGATTTTTTGTGTGATTTTCTTTTTCTTTTAGTCCATCAGCTGTCATTAGTGTTAGTGTATTTTATGTGTGGCCCAAGACAATTCTTCCAAAGTGGCCCAGGGAAGCCAAAACATTAGACACCCCTGGTTTAAAGCAAGGCTCGTGCCCATGCCTAACTTGAGAAGCAGCACACCTGTGTCCAGAGAAGAGGAGAATAATCATGGCCACAGGCAGCAGCCTGTGTCACGTGGGCCTCCTTCCTTCTGTCCTTCACTCCATCTCTCCTTCAGTGCCTCTGCTTCACTGCAGGACGTCATCAGCTTTCACCTGGAAGAATGCAATAGCTTTCCCTCCATTCTCTACCCTTTCTAATTGATCTTGCAGGCCACCAAATTATCTTCCTAAAGCACAAATTCATCATGCCATGCCCCTGCTTTAAACCAAGTGGCTCCTCACTGTCTGTAGGGCGAGGTCCAGCATCAGCCCTCGCTCCTTCTTCCCTATATTCCTTGTGTTCTAGACACATCAGATCTCTCCACATTTTCTCATACTGCATGTTCTCTCTTGACTATGTCTTACATTTGCAATGCCTTCTACCTGGAATCCCTTCATACCTCCACACAGCCTCTTTATTTGAGAGAACATAATCACCTTCTTTCTGATGAATGCTTTCTGGACATTTATGGTTCTCTTCTCTGTTGTCTGATAGCATCTGGTGTGGCCTTGGGATCTAGGACCCAGCAGAGAGGTGAAGGGGCAGGATGGGAAGCCCTTCCAGAGGGGAACAGGCACAGGGACTCCTCAGTGGTGTGTCCAAGAAAAAGCAAAACTGGTTTCTGACTATTGAGAGACTAACAGGTCCCCTAGAGTCTGGAGACAAATTGATGATTGGCACATAGAAAACTAAGCTGATGAGGAAATGATAAAAGTGATAACTTGAGGGAAAATAAAAAATTTCACAAAAAAGAATACAACATATGACTTCTTTGTGGCTAATATTTCCATAATTATAATTTTATAAACACTGAAAATTAACCATAAGTGTTGCTGTAACAGTGTTGAAAAGAATGGGCGAGGGGAAAATGTAAGTCTTAGGAGAGACGTAAGAGAGCTAGCACCCTCCAGAGTAGGAAGTTCAATAGGTGCTATTGAAAACTGAAATTGAAGAACCAGCATAAGCAGGATAAGCATGGCATTAAGAAATAAAGGCAAGTGTGGGATGGTAGGGACGACTAAAGGAGTTAAGAATAGTCATCTCTCAGGGGCAGGAGTCAGGAGACAGATGAGGCATCCTGTTGGACTTTTTAAACAGGAGTTGAAAAACATGAAAAAAAAATTCAAGAAAGATGAAAACAAAATATGTAAAGATGTTTTGCTGGCATTGTTTATTATAGTAAAAACTGGGAATAGCAGCATCCAACAATGGAGGCAGCAGCAAGATAATGCAGGGGAAAGAAAGAGCTGTCGGGTCAGACACACACAGAGTTCAAATGCAGGGTCCGCTGTGCAGTAGGCTGTTGGACACTCAGTTTCTGTCTGTAAAGGGGGTCCTAATAATAAGAATCGCTGTAAGGGACAAATTGAATTATGTAACATGCCCATAGAAGGGGCTAAATAAATGTTTGCTCCCTCCCTTAACTATAGCTAATAAACAGGATAGAATTTTATGCAGACGTTCAGAACTTAGCATACTAATTATCTATAAAAATAGAGAATAAGTGAAAAAAGCAGAAGACAATTATATATCTCTATCTGAGCACCATTGTTGTAACTATGTAAATACTCTGCTTTCAGATAGATATAGATGAAAAGGAAACAAAAATGAGAATATTTTTGCAAGGCTTGTGAGGATATGGGTGATTTTTAAGCTTCTAATTTCTTATAGCTATTTCAAATTGATATGAAATTAAGAGGACTCTGAATATGCATTTCATCTTTCATAGTTTTGAAAGCCATTATCTTGTTCATTCCTAATAATAAGCAGTGACACCAGCACTGTCCTTTGCATTTGTCCTTTATATGTAAAGAGAGATGGACTTTGCTTTAGTAGGACTTTCTAGAACATGCTTATCTGCATGGTTTGGTGGCGCTCTCTCACTTTGTGGACAAGATGAAGGTCTGGTGCCTAAGCTGGGGTTTCTCAAGGATGGAGTTGTTGACCATCTGAGAAAATGTTTTCCTGTGCCCACATACCGTAGGGGAGGGCTGCCATTTCAACAGGGCTAACCCACAGCCATCAACAGTGGCTTCTATCAGCTTTTTGTAACTGTTCCTCTGACGGAAAGCTCCAGGGCAGCTGCATCATTTCCTTCCTCTTACATTTGTGCTCAAGGCTCACCCTGGTCAAGAAGCCTGGCTGCATTTCCCAGAGGTTCTTTTATCAGCCAGTAGAACCTATGACCTTGTACCCTCCGTGTTGCCCTTGCTGTCAGTCGGCTCTTGTTTATCCTTCCATCTTTTCTTTGTGAAATATCACTCAGAGATTTGTCCATAGGAGTGCTGAAAGAGCTTCCTCCATTTATGTCTTGACTGCTTCGTATTCCATAAAAAAATAGTTTGTTTAACCAGTCTCCTAGATAGAGGTTTCCTTTATTTGTAATCTTTTGCTTTCACAATGTTGCATTGAATGCTTCTGTATTTTCATCACGATGCGCACCTGTCAGTATAGGATAAACTCCTAGAGGTGGAACTACTGGGTCAAAGGGGATGTGCATGGAAAATTTTGCTAGCTGTTGTCCTCAAGCCTCTCCACACCAGCACTGTGAGCACATTTCCCCAAAACGTTGCCAACATCAGGAGTTCTACTTTTTGATATTTGCCAATCTGGTAGGTGAAAAATGTTTTCTCACTGTGGTTTTAATTAGTCTTTCTTTGATTAAAGAGACTGTGTATCTTTTCATATTTTAGAACTCTTTTTATTTCCTTTTCTGTTCACTGCCTGTTGGTGGCCTCTAACCATTTTTCTGATGGTCATTGGTCTTTTTCCTAATCATTTGAGGGAGCTCTTTATGTACTAGGGAAATTAGCCCTTTGTGATATGAATTGCAAATATTTGTTCTCAGTTTGTCATTTGTCTTTTGACTTTGCCCATAGTGGTATTTGCCATGCATAATTTTTTTTTTTTTTTTTTTTGAGACAGAGTCTCGCTCTGTCACCCAGGCTAGAGTGCAGTGGCGTGATCTCGGCTCACTGCAAGCTCCGCCTCCTGGGTTCACACCATTCTCCTGCCTCAGCCTCCTGAGTAGCTGGGACTACGGGTGCCTGCCACCACGACCGGCTAATTTTTTTTGTATTTTTAGTAGAGACGGGGTTTCACCATGTTAGCCAGGATGGCCTCGATCTCCTGACCTCGTGATCCTCCCGCCTCAGCCTCCCAGAGTGCTGGGATTACAGGCGTGAGCCACGGCGCCCGGCCGCATAATTTTTTTTAATGTTTGCATAATTAAATTTTTCAATTGTTTCTTTTGTGGCTTCTGGGATTTCTGGTTTCCTTAGAAAGGTCTTCTTCACTGCAAGATTATTTTTAAAAGCCTAGAATTTCTTCTAGCATATGAATGATTTCATTTTTATTTTGAAATGTTTCATCCTTCCAGAATTTATCCTGGTGTGAGGTGTGGCTCCAACATAATTTTTTTCAAGACGGCTACACTTTGTCCAACACTATTAAACAATCCATCTTTACCCCATTATTCAAATGCCACCTTTTTCACCAACTAAATTTCCTGGATGTATTTAGGCATATTTCCAGTCTTTTGTGTTCTGTTGATGGTCCTGAACATATACCATCAGCAGATTGCAGCTTTGTACTATGTTTTGCTGTGGGCAGTGGGGCGATGCTCATACCCCAGCACTGCTTGTTTTCATACTTTTCTTGGCTATTATAGCTGGTTCATTTTTCCAAATGAACTTTAGAATGCTTGTTTAATTCCACATATAAAAATCTTATTATTTTTATTGTGTATCTCTTAAGTTTATAGGTAATTTAGGGAAAATTGACATGTTTGTGATGCCAAGTTTTCCAGTGCAAGTTCATTTATTCAAGTCTTTGAGCCCGAAAGAGCATTATAAAGTTTTCTTATCTCCTTTTCTTGATTGTGAACTCCCTGGGAGCAAGAATGGGGTCAAGTTTTGAGTATGGCTTATTAGTAATGATCTATATAATTACTGACAAAAGAAACATAATTTTCATTAAATATTTGTAGAACCTACTTTTTCCTAACATCATTGCTTGCCATTTTATGAGTTGTTTTCTGCACATCAAAGAAAGGCAAGATGTAGTACAAATGCTGATGTCAAATGTCAGCATTTTAATCCTTAAAGTCATCTCTTGATTGGTGTGTTCTTTCTTTATTTATTTTTAATAAAAAATTGTATTTGCTTAGAAGCATTCAGAATGTCAACAAAATGGCTACAACTTTTTCTTTTTTTTTTTTTTTTTTGCAATTACAGAGTGGTATTCACTTAACAACAGTCATTTTATATAAGCTGCATCAGAGACAACTGAAGATGAAAAAACTACCATCCCCATATATAACTAATTTGTGCCATGCACTAACAAGAACCTGCTTTTAATTTCCATGCCAGTTTACAATCCCCATACTGTACTAGGCAAGGTTGGTGGCTATTGAAAATACCACCAGGACAGGGATATCTAAAGACACATTTGGTAGTGTGTTAACTATACAAAAAAAAAAAGACATTGTACAGTTTAAAAACAAATCTTACACAGCCTTACATTTCAGTTTTTTTCTTTAAAAGGAGTGAGTTATGTACAGGTTAAATGCTTTATAGACGAGAAAAAAAACTACACTAGAACCAACTTATTCATCATCATCTTCATCTTCCTCCTCCTCATTCTTATCCTCTTCATCTTCCTCATCTTCCTCCTCTTCCTTCTTTTTCTTGCTTTTTTCAGCCTTGACAACTCCCTTTTTTTGCTGCAGCAGGCTTTCCTTTAGCCCGATATGCAGCAATATCCTTTTCTTACTTTTCCTTCAGCTTCGCAGCCTTCTTTTTATAAGGCTGCCTGTCATCTGCAGCAATGTTATTCCACATCTCTCCCAGTTTCTTTGCAACATCATTAGTGGACAGGCCAGATGTTCTCCTTTGATATTTGGGCGATACTCAGAACAGAACAGAACAGGACAGAACAGAACAGGAAGAAGGCCGAAGGAGGCCTCTTGGGTGCACTGGGATCCTTTAACTTTTTTTTTTTTCTTTTGAGATGGAGTTTCCCTTTTGTTGCCCAGGCTGGAGTGCAATGGCGCAATCTCAGCTCACTGCAACCTCTGCCTCCCAGGTTCAAGCGATTCTTTTGCCTCAGCCTCCCGAGTAGCTGGGATTACAGACGCCCGCCACCATGCCTGGCAATTTTTTTTTTTTTTTCAGTAGAGACGGGCTTTCACTGTCTTGGCCAGGCTGGCCTCGAACTCCTGACCTTAGGTGATCTACCCGCCTCAGCCTCCCAAAGTGCTGAGATTACAGGCGTGAGCCACCACACCCAGCCTGAACGTCTTTTTTGTCTCCCCTTTAGGAAAGATACAGGTTTTCGTTTCTCTTTCGTATGGGCCCTGTCTGCCTTTGCCATATCTTCGAATTTTCCTTTCTGTTTAGTAGGCATGGTCTTCCACCTCTCTGAGCACTTCTTAGAAAACTCTGAGGAGTTGACTGAAGCATCTGGATGTTTGTTCTTATGTGCCTCCCTACAAGTTTGCACAAAAAATGCATATGATGGCATTTTCTCTCTTGGCTTCTTAGGGTCTCCTTTGCCCATGTTTAGTTATTTTTCCTCAGCAAGGCACAGAATTGCCCAGTGCCCATCTGGCTCTCACTTGCCCCAGTGCTATCTCTATGGAGCTCATTGTACTGCAATGGCTGTGATATCGGGAGCCAGGTGCAGCCTCCTCACTCTCTCCGCTCTATAACATTGCTCTCCAGCCAGCGCAGCTCCTAGTTGATTAGCGTGTTCTTAAAAGAGCATTCTGTGTAGGTAATCCAGGGGCTTCACATTTAGGTATTTGAGTTTTCCTCCACTAGGAATAGTGGCAAATATAATGTGATTTTCCAGCTCTAATCTTCCCTCCCCATAACGCTGGCACAGATTTTGAGGTAGCCTTGGCCTGGGAAGTAGCCAAAAGGCACTGTGTTGGACAAAGAGCAGACCATTGGCATCTATGTGCATGTCCTCAGGAGAGAGGTGACTAGGCAGATGGGGACAAGACACGGGTGCTCTGTGTTCTGAGCGTCAGCGTACATCCTGTTTGGTTAGCACAGAGTGAGTCTGGGAACTTTGCACTTAGCACCTTGGCAGCCCAGGTCTGGGAATAGTGGTGCCTTCTCCTAAAGTTAGGTCACTAATCTTTGACTGGCTGTTTGCAGGACCAGTTCTCTAACGGATCCAGGGTTCCAGTGGAACCCTGGAGACTGGAACTCTGGAGCTTCTTAATAAACTGCCTCCCTACTTAAAGCATGGTGTCAAAACCAGGTTGAAATGCAACGTGAGGAGAGAGGACTGTGCTTTGGTGTGCCTAGGGAGGATGTGACCAGTTCCGCGTGCTGTTTGTGAACAGGAAGATAGTGGGATCAGATGCATTTAACATGTGGATACAGTTCTGAGGGGTTTTAACTGGTTTTCTTTGAACTTTAGAAAAGCACATTTATTTTTCCTTGGAGCAAAAAAGTAGTTTCTTTTTAAGTGGTTTTATTGTAACTCATGGGGCTGTTCTCCTAACATTCATATTTTATAGTTTGCACGATATGCACAAAGGTCACAGATGTACCAGCCTGGCCCAGTGGCCTCCGTCCTGTATTTAGAAACCAGTTCGGGAACGGAAGAGGATTGCTCTTTTGTTTCCTCAGGCCACTTTTGGTCATTTCAGGCAGAAACAGTCTCTGCATTGGAATTTTCCTGTGCAGATCCTGCAATTCAGGAATAGAGCATTTAGCAACAACAGTGAAAATGTAATGTGTGACAGCTGTGGAGAAGAATTTGCCTCCAGTGAGGGGAAAATGCTGTGTTCAAAGTGGATTTCTGATGAGCCTATTAATGGGTGTTTGGGAAGCTGAATATGTTGCTGCCATTTTGAGATGAAAGGCCCAAGGTGTTTGTTCCTGAAGCTAATGAGGAAGCCCTTTCCCAGCCTCAGCCTTACCTCCCCAGTAGGACTGGTGAGATGTGCACACAGGGTCTACTCCACATCTGGCCCTCCTGAAAAGAAGGGCTTCCAGTGGGGGCTGTGTCCTAGTGGAGAAGGGTGAAGCCCAGTGGGATGGGCTCACGAAGGACCTGCTGTTGACCTGCTGGCTTCAGGTCCACCAGGCTAGGGGTAGATAGGCCAGAAAAGAAACCAGAGGTGTCTGTGGTAGGAGCAGCAAGGGCCCTGGCTTCCAGGCCTGTGGAGCAGGGAGGCTCTGGCAGTTCAGGATCTGGAAAAGAACTGACAAAATGTTCTCCTAAACTCTGGCCCTTGCCGGCTTCCTTACCTTTCCTGTGTGCACACACATGCATGCACATGCACATGTGCACACACAGGAAGGCCTGGAACTCAGTTTGCAGACTCGTGGAGCTGCCACAAAGCTTCACTCCCAGTGTTTCCCCCACCACTGATGCTTGTCCTCCTGGGTTTATTCTCACCCATGAAAGTAGGGTAAAAATGTATCCCCAAATCAAACACCTGTCACCTTTCTAGAAGCACTTCCATCCTCTCTTGCTCTCACTGTCATCGCTCTCCTGGATCTTTGGGGAGATATTCAGTATGATTTTGTTAACATTCTGGCCTTATCTTAGAGATAATTAAATGTGAATATTCAAATTAATTAGCCCCCAGATGTATCTTCTGCAGAAAAAAACTCCTCTAACAAGAAGTCAGTTACAGTTGTGAGAAACATGCAAAACGAAAGAAATGTTTTTTTTCAAAGACCTGTGAAGACCACTGTAGAGAAGCTCCAACAAATTCAGTTTTCAATTTGAAGAAACATTATTTAATATAGAACATTTTGACAGTTGATCAGACAGGAGAAAATAGGCACAAAGCTGTTATTTTAACTTCTGGTTGGGGGAGTTGATGAGTCTTGAGTGTGATAAAGTAAGGAACGCTTTGGACTGAATCAGAGACCTGTCCTCTAATCCTAGCTTTTTTTTTTTCTTTTTTTTTCCTCATTTTTAAAACGGGGAAGACACCATTGCTCAGAATTGTGAAGATTAAGCTAGAAGGCCGGGCAGGATGGCTCACTTCTATAATTCCAGCACTGTGGGAGGCTGAGGTGGGAGGATTGCTTGAGCCCGGGAGATCAAGACCAGCCCTGGCGACATAGCAAGACCCTGTCTCTACAAAAAAAAATTAACTGGGCATGGTGGCATGTGCCTGTGGTCCCAGCTACTCAGGCGGCTGAGATGGGAGGATTGCTTGAGCATGGGAGGTTAAAGCTGCAGTGAGCCGTAGTTGTACCACTGCACTCCAGCCTGGGTGACAGAGTAAGACCTTGTCTCTAAAAATAAGTAAATAAATAAACTAGAGACATGACTCACCCAGCTCCTGATGGAGAGATTTGGTGCTCAGAAATATCTCTCCTCTCTGAGATCTTGGTACTCCCCATGATGCACTAAGTGAAATTGGTACTTCTCAGCCTCATGATTGTCTCCCCATAGTATCATCCTATTCTATCTCTCTGACCCCATTGCCCACCGCTCCTGTCTGTGACAGTAGCTGCCTGTGTATTCATCATGCATCCTACCTTCAGATTACGAATGCCACCAGGGCGGTCACTGTGTCCGGCTCTAATCTCTGTATGCCTCACAGCACTCGTATTTGTTGAATTTTATTAAATCAATATATAAGAGCCAAAATAAAATATAGGTAGAGGCAGGTTCGGACCTGATAACATCTTTGGTTTGGCCCCAGGTGCCAGCAGCACACTCCTAGTTGGGCATCCTCAGTCCATGTTGTCACTCTGAAAACAAATCTGTTTGTCAGAGTAAAGGTCACCTTTTTTTCTCAGTGGACAAATATTTTTTTCTGAAATGAAAAATTTGCTTTTCTTCCCTTGAGTGTGTGCACTCAAGTAAGCAGAGTGGAGGGCCTGTGAAGATGGGCATTCTCTCTGGAAACTGAGGAAACATCCCGAGCCTATGTCTCCTAACAGTCTTGGCACCTAACTAGAATCTGACCGGAGTTTCAGCACGCAGCCAGCAGAGGACATCACCAGCCATTTGAGTGTGCAGTTGTCTGGAGCAGCCACGCAGCAGGTCTCTGTAGCCCTGATGGAGAGAGTTTTCTTCTTGGGAGGGCTTCCCAGGATGATGTAACACCTCTGCGTTTTGCCTCAGTGGCTGAAGAGTCCCTTTGGACTTGGGTTTTGCAGAAAGAGAGGGGAGTCTGAGGGCAGAGTGTAAAGTGACACAGCCGGTGTGTAGAGCTGAGCAGCCTGTGTTAGGAACAGTCAGAGCCTGTGGACTTGTGAGGCTTCCACTCACGTGCTATGTTAGCAGTTCTTTTCCTCAAGCTCTACTGAAAGACCTGTGGACCTGACATTTTATGGTCACAAGCCCTGGAGAAGATAGCCATTCATTTTGCTGGATGACCTTTTAAATAAACCTCTAGAGTAAGTTCCAGGCAAATACTGGAGGTGGCTGTGTTTGCCCAACAGAATCCAGCAAAAACACTTCTCTGTGCTTGAAATTCCTTCTTGTACCTGATGCTTTGGAATTTAGGCAGGTGATAAATTAAAGATGAATTTCTTCTTTTTTTTTAACGTTACAATATAGTTAGCTATTATCTTGATATGCTTTCTAATATATAATGGAGTTACATATGTACATTTAACTTATGCAAATTCAACTCTACAGATTGAGAGAGAGACCCCCACACACACACAGACACACACATACACACACCACCTTATTTGTGCTGACCCTTCTGCCAGCTTCTCCATTCAAAGGAGCACAGGCCCCCCCTGTGTGTGATCTGGGAGCCTCACGTCACCTCTGCTGGTACCAGGGCCTGTGTGTCTCTCCTGCGAGAGAGAGCACCTTACTGTATCTTCACGTTTAAAGATGTGTTTTTGTTTTCCATTTCCTTTGTTTCACAACATGGCCTTAACCTCAAGCCACCAGTGCCATCTGTGCTTATCCACAGCCCCAGCCATCTTCGTGGCACTGAGGGAGAACTGCCTGGCTCCCTTTGCCCAGAGACAGTGTGTTACTAAGGGATGCTCAGGGCATAACTTTATTATAGTTAATAGTTTAGTTTCACTTTTTTTTTTTTGTTGGACAGAGTCTTACTCTGTCACCCATGCTGGAGTGCAGTGGCCCGATCATAACTCACTGCAGCCTTGACCTCCTGGGCTCAAGTGATCCTCTTAACTCAGCCTCCCAAATAGCTGGGACCACAGGCATGTGCCACCACACCCAGCTAATTAATTAATTAATTAATTAATTTTTTGGTATAGATGAGGTCTTCCTATGTCACCCAGGCTGGTCTCAAACTCCTGGCCTCAAGCAGTCCTCCCACTTGGCCTCCCAAATTGCTGGGATTACAGGCATGAGCCACCACACCCAGCCTGACAGTTTCGCCTTTTAACTTGAGAACCAAGCTGCGGGCGACATGTGACCCCACTATAAAAACAGAACGGCCAGGCACTGTGGCTCACACCTGTTAATCCCAGCACTTTGGAAGGCCGAGGTGGGCAGATCTCTTGAGGTAAGGACTTCAAGACCAGCCTGGCCAACATGGTGAAATCCCATCTCTGCTAAAAATACAAAAATTAGCCAGGCATGGTGGCGTGCGCCTGTAACCCCAGCTACCCAGGAGGCTGAGGTGCGAGAATCGCTTGAACCCGGGAGATGGAGGCTGCAGTGAGCAGAGATCACGCCACTGCACTCCAGCCTGGGCAACTCTGTCTCAAAAAAAAAAGTTAAAGCAGGAAGAGGGGAAGAGGGAGTTACTCCTGAGTGATCCCCCTTTGTTGTGACTAGTGTTGTTTAGTACTTGCCTGAGCCCCAGAACTTGGTCTCTTTACCCTTTCTCCTGTTTAGTGCCAGCTTCTGGCTTGGAAGCCCACGTTGACCAGCTCCTCAATAAACAGATTTCTATCAGGAATATCTACCAGGGTTCTCCGTGTTGCTGAAAAGCCCCTAGTTCAAGATAACCTTTAAAATGGCCAGCATCAGAATATATACATGCTAATTTGATATATTTTTAAAGGTAGAGGTTGGCTGTTGACGACTCCAGATATGTTTGGTCTCATCACATTGGTTCTAGATAACTAATATTTTTAAAGGATGACTAATAGACTCATAGGAGTCTCTAGAATGAAAGCATCTGTCTGTCCTTATCATGTTTGTTTTATCATCCAAATAAGCCCTGGACGCAGTGGCCAAGGCCCCAGTTGAAGTCTCAACCCTGCTCTTGACTAGCAGTGTGAATGTGGCCAAGCCATGAACTCCCTAGCCTCAGGATCCCTGTGGTAAAGTGGGGTTAACAGTATCTGCCCATTTCACAAAATTGTCATTGAAGGCAAATGAGATCATTTTAAAAAGGACTTTGAAAAACTATGAAGTGCTGTATAGATAAATAAAATAGCAGTTTTATTTATTATGCCGTGTTCAAAGAAAAAAGGTAAATAAATTCTTGATGCTAGAACCACTGAGATTAGTACCTCAAACATCCTTGACTTCCTTTGTTAAAGAGCTTGGGGGGACATCCTTAATGTTTCTGAAGTTGCAAAGGGAGAGGCCCCAGGTTTCACTCCGGGTGACATAATTTCTTTGCTGTAGTAAGATTCCAGTGGCATTTGCCTTAGCATGTATCTCGTTCTTGCAGCTAAATTAGAGCACGGTAACTATTTCCTCTCATTCCTTTTTAATCTGTGAAATCATGAGCCTTACTCTTGCCTTGTTAAGGAGGAGAAGCCAGACTACTCAGAGGACCCCCACGGAGCTCCTCAGCAAGTGGCCTGCCCAGCCTTCCCCTCCACAGCCCCTGAGCCATCACCACATTTGGGATCTTCTTCTCCACCCAGTTCCTTACTTTTCAGCTCATATCGTCACATTTATTGGTCTCAAGTCTCTTGTCTTGGGTTGGGCTGGGAAGGAGGAACATGCAGGAACGGAATACCAGTCGGATTCTAGCCTCCTGCGTTCCCATTGAATGCAGGAGGGGTTGAACCCAGTGACATTTTGAATATAAATATTTTCATCAGAGTTAGGCTAACATTAAAGAATTTTTCTTTGGGAAAATATTTTCTAAAACAAAGTCTGCTGAGCCAATTCGATTCCATGATGAGTTTTTTTTTAATACAATACAGTTAAATTTTATCTTCATCAGGGTTGTTTTCCATTTAAATTTACTACAAAGACTGGAGTCATTAATCGTTTTTTTGTCCGTGTCATATATTATGACCATAGCTTCTGCTATAGCAAGTTCTCTTGCGGCTGTTAGTTCCACCAAGTCCAATTCTCTAAGTTCAATTTTACAGGTCTAAATGTTTTTATGAAAACTAGATTCTTCTGTCAATTTTTAGACAATCCCAGTATTCAATTTACCACATGCAGTTTTAACTATTGCCAGTTTTATTATCAGTTGATTCTTTGAACGAACCACTGGGAGATAAACAGGAGACTGATAGTATATATTTATCAACTAATTCATTTTTTAAAAAAAGTGTGGCCAAGTGCGGTGGCTCACGCCTGTAATCCCAGCACTTTGGGAGGCCGAGGCGGGTGGATCACCTGAGGTCGGGAGTTCAAGACCAGCCTGACCAACATGGAGAAACCCCGTCTGTACTAAAAATACAAAATTAGCTGGGCATAGTGGTGCATGCCTGTAATCCCAGCTACATGGGAGGCTTAGGCAGGAGAATCGCTTGAACCCAGGAGGCGGAGGTTGCAGTGAGCCGAAATTGCACCGAGCTGAGATTGCGCCATTGCACTCCAGCCTGGGCAATAAGAGCAAAACTCCATCTCAAAACAAAAAAAAAAAAATGTGATTAATTTTAGACATAGAGATGAAAATAGAGATAGAGTAGAAGGAAATGGCCTCAAGTCAAAAGGGGATGTTCAAGATCATTAGTCATAAAGGAAATGCACATCAAAACCACCAAGAGATGCCACTTCACACCCACTAGGATAGCTATAGTAATTTCTTTTCAATGGACAACAGCAACTGTTGGTGAGGATATGGAGAAATTGGGACTCTTGTATGTTCCTGATTGGGAATATAAAATGGTACAGCTGCTGTGGGAAAAAGTTTGGAGTATCCCCAAAAAGTTAAACATAGAATTGCCATATGACCCAGAAATTCCACTTCTGGGACACAACCCAGAGAATTGAAAACAGATGTTCAAACAAAAGCCTGTACATAAATGCTCACAGCAGTGCTATTCACAATAGCCAAAAATTGGAAACCATCCAATGTCTTTTTTCTTTTTTTTTGAGATACGGTCTCACTCTGTCGCCCAGGCTTTAGTGTAGTGGCACAATCTCAGCTCACTGCAACCTCCGCCTCCTGGGTTCAAGCAATTCTCCTGCCTCAGCCTCCCGAGTAGCTGGAATTACAGGTGTGTGCCACCATGCCTGGCTAATTTTGTATTTTTAGTAGGGATGGGGTTTCACCATGTTGACCAGGCTGGTCTCAAACTCCTGACCTCAAGTGATCTGCCTGCCTTGGCCTCCCAAAGTGCTGGGGTTACAGGCGTGAGCCACCACACCGGGCCTACCATTCAGTGTCTATAACTGATGAAAAAATAAACAAAATGTGGTATATTCATACAATGAAATACTATTCAGCCGTAAAAAGGAATGAATTACTGATAACATGTTGCAGCATGGATGACTCTCAAAACATTATGCTAAGTGAAAAATCCCAAGACAAAAGGTCACATGTTGATAATTCTGTTGATAAGAAATATACAGAATATGTCAACCTACAGAGACAGAGAGCAGATTAGTGGTTGCCAGGGAATGGGAGACGGAGAAAATGGGAAGTGACTGCTTCATGCATACAGGCTTTCCTTTTGCAGTGATGAAATATTCTGGAACTAGATAGAGGTGATGAGTGCCCAATATTTTGAATGTATTAAATGCTACTGAATTGTAGACTTTAAAATGTTATATGTATTTTACCTCAAAAAAGTCGTGGGGACAAAGTGATGAATTCAAAATGTGTTACTGTGCTTTAAGACCAGTAAAGATCATTGACCAGGAGTCTTAGAAACTCTACTTTCCTAGATGTCTTCTTGAAAAAACAACTCCAGTAGGCCGGGCACAGTGGCTCACACCTGTAATCCCAGCACTTTGGGAGGCCAAGGCAGGCAGATCACTTGAGGTCATGAGTTTGAGACCAGCCTGGCCAACATGGTGAAACTCCATCTCTACTAAAAATATGAAATTAGCCAGGCGTGGTGGCAGGTGCCTGTAATCCCAGCTACTCCAGAGGCTGAAGCAGCAGAATCACTTGAACCCAGGAGGTGAAGGTTGCAGTGAGCCGAGATGGTGCCATTGCACTCCAGCCTGGGCTACAGAGTGAGACTCCATTGCAAAAACGAAACAAAACAAAACAAAAAAACACTTCAGCCCTTTTGTGTGCTCAGATTTGCTTTTAGAAAATGGATGCATGGAGAGAAGAAAACAACATTTAAGGAGATTACCTGTTTCTCCTGTTTCTTATGTACATTGTGTTGCAGGTAAAGCAGATGCTCAAATAAATACATTTGAGAAGTATGTGAAATGCCAAGAGTTGGGGACAGGGACAGAAAGATGAGCCTTCAGAAGAACTAGATGGGAACATGATGGTTTAATGTGGGCCGTGGGGTATCAGGGCAGTAAAGAAGCCTCTTGAATCAAAGACAAGCCCAGCTCAAAACCTTTCAGGGGACGTCTGTCCCCTTCTGGCTGCCTAGCATTCATTCTTCCTTTCTAAGGGCATACAAATTTCCCCTTGGGGAAGTTCTTCTCTCCCACTGCATGCAGGTAATAAATCAAAGTGTGTCGCCCACCCACTCTGAAATTGAAGGCATCCCTTTTAGTTGCCGTACTCCTGGGACATTGACCTTTGAGTAGGGTGGGGGGACACTGGTACTAATGGTGTAAAAAGCACATCCCTGGAACAGCCCCCTGGTTTCTTTCTTGGATCCTGCCCTCATTTCACGCCTGGTTCTCCAGCCTCTTTTCCATTTAGTAGGCACCCCAGTGTCCTTCTGTGTACTCCTTTCTTAAGTTAGTCAGAGTTGGGTTTTGTTGCTTTAAGCAATGCATCCTATCTGACAGAAACTTCAAATGCTGAGGAGTAGCTGCTGATGGGCATTTTGTTCACTGGAAAGGACTTGCTGCAACTTGCTGAGATGTGAGGACTCAATCTCAGGCAACATATCCTAAACATCTAGTGTGTGCCAAGTCCTGTGCTAATTTGGTAGAGAAGTACAAGGGAGAATCAAAGGAAATAACAGTGAAGTCTGAGTTTAATCACTAGCTATAAAATAGTTTGATTTACAGCCAAGGAACTTAGGTACCATAAGGAAGAACTGGTCACCCACTGGTTTAAGGCAAAGATGAGCATCAGTCAACTTTATTTTTTCAACTCTCTTTTTAAAACACCAGCTGTCCGTGCCTATGTGAGCTTCATCTGCTCAAAGACGTACGTGTGTGTGTGTGTGTGTGTGTGTGTGTGTGTGTGTGTGTGTGTACGTATGTATATGGGGGGTGGGAGGGAGATCCAGACCCTTGTGGTCTTTCCCACTGACCAATTCTCTTAGTAAGCCAGATGTCGATTATAAATAGGCTCAGAAGATAAGGACAGGCTGGCCTCTATATTTTGTTGTGGCCCAGCTTGTTTGTTAGTAACAAACATTTATTAACCGCTGGCCACGGCACAACATTGGCCACAATACCATAAGGATTAGTAAAGAAGTAGAAGAGACTGTTTCTACTTTCAGGGAGTTAAGGGTAAAACATGCCCAGATGCTTCAACTCAAGAATAGCTTTAAAAAATACAGACAGAAAGACATGCAAATTAGCGTAGTAAAAATGGAATATTCTGTAAAACATGAAGAAAGCAATGAAATTTTACTATAGGATTTAATGGAGAGATGTACCATGTTTTTGGATGGGACACATCAGTATTGTAAAGGTGTCAATTATCTCCTAGGTAATATATATTTGTCGTGTTTCCAATCAAAAATCTAAAATTTTTATAGAACTAAACAAGCTAATCCTATAATTAATCTGGAAAATAAAATGCTGAAATCTGCCAAGAAAATTTTGAAAAATAACAAAGGCAGCCTGCGCTATCAACTATCAAAGTATCTCATAAAGCTATATTAATTAAAGCAGTGTCATACTGGCATATGCATAGACAAATAGATCAATAAACTAGAATACAAAGTATAGAACCAAATCTAAATATTTAATTGAGAACTTGGTGTATATTAAAGATGTCCACTGAAAGTAGGGAAACGATAGGCCATTCATTGTGCAAGGACAATGAGCTAGTCTGTCAGAAAAAAATGAATTATATCTTCCCTTCACATCATTTTATAAAAGTAAGTGGATTTAAGGTTAATACATTTTTTAAAACTATAGAAGTAATAGAAGGAAACATTGGGAATTATGTTTATAATTGGGTATTGCATAGCTCTTTTTTTTTTTTTTTTTTTTTGAGACAGAGTCTCGCTCTTTCGCCCAGGCTGGAGTGCAGTGGCGCGATCTCTGCTCACTGCAAGCTCCGCCTCCCAGGTTTACGCCATTCTCCTGCCTCAGCCTCCCAAGTAGCTGGGATTACAGGTGCCCGCCACCACGCCCGGCTAATTTTTTGTATTTTCAGTAGAGACGGGGTTTCACCGTGTTAGCCAGGATGGTCTCGATCTCCTGACCTCGTGATCCGCCTGCCTCGGCCTCCCAAAGTGCTGGGATTACAGGCGTGAGCCACTGCGCCCGGCTGCATAGCTCTTTTTAAAACAAAATGCAAAACACAAAGGTTTTAACAAAACACAACAAAATCTATTGTATATTTTAACTTTATCTTGTTATATAACCATAAAAGATACTTTTAACTATAAAAGATATTTTTATAACTATAAAAGATATTTTTAACCATAAAAGATTAAAAACTAGGGCCGGGCACAGTGGCTCACGCCTGTAATGCCAGCACTTTGGGAGGCCGAGAGGCTGAAGTGGGCTGATCACCTGAGGCCAGGAGTTCAAGACCAGCCTGGCCAACATGGTAAAACCCCATCTCTACTAAGAATACAAAAATCAGCCGGGCGTGATGACATGCGTGCCTGTAATCTGAGCTTCTAGGGAGGCTGAGGCAAGAGAATCTGTTGGACCCGGGAGGCAGAGGTAGCAGTGAGCCGAGATCGCTCCACTGCACTCCAGCCTAGGTGACAGAGTGAGACTCCGTCTCAAAAAAAAAAAAAAAAAAAAAAACTACATAAAATAAAGTTAAAATATACAATAGATTGGAGAAAACATTTGTAACATATGATAGATAATGGCTTAATGTAGGGATAATAAAACAATACTTATAAATCAATAGAAAAATAGACAAAGGATATCAACAGACAGTTCACAGAAGAGAAATACAAATGACTAGTAAACATGAATCAGCGAAATGCAAATTCAAACAAGCAACTTTTTTTCAACCATAGATTGGGTCAACCTTAAACACAAGTTGAAACAAGATACCCATTTTTTTGCCCATCAAAGTGGCCAGAATGTAAAAGATTAATAATGCCAATTATTAATGAGGGTGAGGAAGACAGGTACTTTCCTTCGTTATTGGTGGGAATGTAAATGAACCCATCTTTTTTAGAAGGCAACTTGGCAGTATCTACAAAATGTAAAACGCACATACCTCTCAGTTCCATCACAGTGCCTTCTGTATGCCCTCTCATCAGGCTTACAAGGAGGAGAGTGCAAAAGCAGCCATATCTCCTAAGGGCCAGGCCTAAATTGGCATGGCAGTCCTTCTGCCACCTTCTGTAAGCCCAGAGAAGCCACAGGCCAGTCCAGATCACAAGGAGGGAATCTAGCTCCCGGCAGAAGAATGGAATAAGTGGAATTATTGGCCGCTACATTTTCGAACTACCACATAGATAGAAAAAGCATATTCCTTCGTGTACCATTTTAGCAGCATTTCTTCAGTATTTATATGTTTATATAAATTTCAAAATATTCTATTGTTTTAGTCCATATTTCCTTCCTGACCTAAACCATGTGACTGGGCACCTATTCAGTTTTTTGTTTTTAAATTTTTTTCTTGTGGTCTGTGGATAAGTTATATAAACAAACAACTACACATTGAACCCCACCATAGTAAATGCAGTCTAAAAATTCAATTTTGTAAACCCTGGTGTTGTATTATTATGAAGTTAATTAAAAACAGTGTTTTATCAGTAGGTATTGTCATAAAATTAAACCTTTTGAGACTTCCACTGTGTATAATTGATCTTACATTGAACTGAGAAAGTCCCAAGTGATTGTGAGGCAATTGATCCCTAACACACACACACACACACACACACACACTCACACTGAGAATTACTGCACCCCACTCTGAGAATGGGGTGTTAGGTAGGCTGGAAAGAGGACAGTCGCCTAACGCCAATCATGTAATAGCTGAATTCACATTATTATGGCACATATTATTTTTAAATATATTTTTGTATATTTTAAAAACATATATTTGTCCTTTTAGATTTACTAAGTGTCTCTATATTCTGTTCATTGAAGCAAATCTCCCCCAGGTGTGTAATGTATGTCCAGTGCTCTGGGGATAGAGCTAGAGGTGAATGAGCAGCAGGAGGGGTTGGCTTGAAAACAGCATCTAAAGTAATCAAGTCACCTGGATGTTAGGACGGAGCTGTGCATGGAGAAGGGGCAACCCCCCCAGCAACCTGACTGGAAGTGAGTCTTGAAAGACAAGTAGTAGGTGGCCCAAAGAAACGCTGGGTGTGAAAGAGCATTCCAGTCAAAGGAGACAGCTTGAGCAAAGACTCCTCAGATAAAAGTAGTTCAACACCACGTGTACCTGTTCTGGCTGGAGTTGGGCCTGGTAGTTTAGGTTTATTTGAGCTTAGGCAAGAAGTTAAGCGAGTACCAGGGTGTAGCCGGCCTCCTAGGCCAAGTGAGGACCCATGCAGTGGAGGGTGGGGGCCAGGCTTGTGTGTTGAGATCACCCCTCCATTGGCGGGTGGATGATGGAGTAGGTGGTGAGAGCAAGACTAGAGGCTTGGAGGCCGCTTGGGGGGCTGCTGCCAAGATTTTGAGGAGGGGACCTGACTCTAAACTGGGAATGTGGCATCAGGACAGTCACATGTGTCATCATTAAATGTGAAATCTGTGACTAGACAAAAAGAAATTTTACTTCATTCTTTTGTTCTATTTTCTGAGATTATATTGTATTCTAAACATGATCAGAAGGTAGGCATATGAAATTTACTCATTCTTCTGATATTTTTAAGCTCAGCATATTTCCACTTTTAATTTATAAACAAAATTTTCTTTAAACTTTCCTCCAGGAGTGATCAAAAGCTTAATTTCTTGGATAGTCCTCTTCCTCTATGCAAAACTTATTATCTAACTTGGTAGTCTGAAATCCTTTATAAGTTCTGTATCTAGATCTTGTATAGTGTTTGGTTGTCCAATTGACATTTTTATAAGCTTGCTTTTTGTTACTGTCATAATCCACTCAGCTCTTATAAATGCCTTCGCCTGCCTTCCAAATGCCATGGCTTTTGCAGTGATATTTGCACCTGTGGTGTTACGCTGGCAAGTGGCTTCATGTCCTTAAGGTCTTAAAATACTCTTTCCCCTCCTCCCCTCCCCCGAAAAGGAAGCTTGTCTGGGAACTGGTTTGCTTAAGGTGATAGCTTCACTTCTCTTAACTTTGTGTAGATTTGATTAATTACACACACATACAAGGAGTAAATCAAAGATGGGTTTTGGGGATCATCTGGTTCTGAGAGAAATGATAGGCAAGTAGGTTAAGGTAAATTATTAATAAAACACTCACCACTGCCATATAATACAGAGGGGAATGATTGACGTCACTATCATTTTATATTATACGACTCCAGTTTATATAGGAGACAAATCCTGGACAACCATCAAGCTTGGGCTAAAAGCCATGGAAGTGAAACCAACAGCGGTTTCAGTAAATGCAGTCACCTTGTACTGTGGTTGTAAACCATAATCATTTCTTAGTTGTAACTTGGATCATCTTCTTTTCCTGGTAATTAACTATTTGTGATTTTTGCATTTCCTACCAACGCCTAGAGTCACTCTGTGTTTTTACAATGCACCGTTGTTAGCGAGGCTTCATGCCTTGCGTAGGCTAACAAGCCTTTATCCTTAATCAATCCAACAAATATTTACACTGCACTGCCCTTACAGCATATTCTCTGGAGCATAGAGTAGTGCCCTCACCCCACAAGGCACTTACAGGCTCTTAGAAGAATTTGCAGCCCTTCCCAGCACTAACTGAGAGTAGCAGGTTTGGCTAATGGAGTAACCACTACAGCTGTGGCCTGTCTCGTTAGGGAAAGAAGAAGTGAGCTTTTAGTGAGTGTAGGCGCTATGCTATTTCATATACATCAGCTCCTTTAATAATGAGCTAACCTGTCAAGTTAGAATGTGTTCAAAATATATCACTTGCTTTCTTTTTATTCTATATTATGGAAATAAGCCATGTTGAATTACTTAACAGTTACCCTAAATTGAAATCCTCTTTATATATATGTCCTGGTTGATTTCTAAAGCTAATCTGATGCAGAGTGTATTAGTAAATGGGGAAAGGCGGTAAATCATGGCACGGATGTAACGTAATAAAAGCCTCATGTTTATGCTTTGTGTGCAGAATTTCCCTGGAACAAAAATAGGTTGAAAGAGTTTTGCTAAAAGATTTTTCAGAACGTTGCTCAAGGAATGTAGAGAAAATTGACCTCCCTTGTCCTTTCTTTAGATACATTCCACCGTTGATCTGGGGGAAAAGTGGACACATCCAGACAGCCTTGTATGGGAAGATGGGAAGGGTGAGGTCGCCACATCCTTATGGGCACCGGAAGTTCATCACTATGTCTGATGGAGCCACTTCTACATTCGACCTCTTCGAGCCCTTGGCTGAGCACTGTGTTGGAGGTGAGCTGCTTTAGATTGTGTGATTGAGCCATCACTCAGAGAAGGAGCACTAGTCAGTGGAGAGCACAGCAGTGTGAATACTTGTGCCACTGACTCTGCCCATGGCATCAGGGGCTGTTGGGAAGCCTGCTGGGATTCGTCACTTAGGAGCAGCCTGCAAAGGTTAGCTTCAGCGTATGTTTGCCAGTCACCATGTAAAGCTCTTCAGAACTCATTGTAGAATAGTTTTTTTTTTTTTTTTGAGACGGAGTCTCGCTGTGTCGCCCAGGCTGGAGTGCGGTGGCACGATCTCGGCTCACTGCAAGCTCCGCCTCCCAGGTTCACTCCATTCGCCTGCCTCAGCCTCCCGAGTAGCTGGGACTACAGGCGCCAGCCACCACGCTCGGCTAATTTTTTTTTTGTATTTTTAGTAGAGACGGGTTTTAACTGTGTTAGCCAGGATGGTCTCGATCTCCTGACCTCGTGATCTGCCTGCCTCGGCCTCCCAAAGTGCTGGGATTACAGGCGTGAGCCACCGCCCCCAGCCGTAGAATAGGTTTTAATCCTGTTGTGAAATACAGAAGCTTGATGTACGGGGATGAGGGAGTGCTTGGAGCCCAGGCACCCCAGGACCAGGCCTCTGGGTTGATGACAGCAACAGAGGCCAGACCATTCTCAGTGCTTCGTGTATACTGTTATCTCATTTAATCCTCAAATAGCGCTGTGAGGCTGGTATTTACTATCCCTACTTTACTGATGAGGAAACTGAAGCTCGGAGATGCAGTATAGGCTGGCGTTTGTTGGATAGCAGTAGATTAAAAGGCTCCCAGGTTCCCTTTGCTTAGGTTTCCCTGGACAAATAGACACATTGAGGTCATATCTATCATGCAGTGGTCTAGGACACCTATTTCTGAGAGATAACTGAAATTTTCATTGCTGCTGGAATTTGGCATTGTTCTGTCTAGCCTATACAAATAGCATTCATTCTAAAATGCTTCATAATGAAGACTTTTGAGGAAGTGGAGTTACTACAAGCATCCTTTTGAATGCTATTGCTACCAAAAGAGAACATGTCTTTTGCATTCTATAGTATTCAAAAGCAACTTATTTTTTGTTTTTTTTAAATAGGAACTCAGTAGTTATTTATGGGTAAATTCCAGTAAACATATTAGGTATTTAAAGTGGCTAGAACTGCTGAGTAGCTGGTGACAAAGATTTAATTGATATTCCCTCTGCCTGGAATGCTGGTCCCCAGACCTTCACATGGCTGCCTCCTCCTTGTCATTCAGGTCTCAGCTCAGATGTCATCTCCTCAGAGGGACTGTCTCTGACTCCCCTAACTAGTGTTTCCTTCTCAGTAAATCCATCACGACTTCCTGCTTTAGTTCTTCGTGGTAGCTTCTACTCTCGAAACCTATTTGTGTGCTTGTGTATTATTTATCTGCTAGAATGTAGGAATCCCCAGAGCCCCGAATAGCTGGCTTCTAATAAACAGCCATGGAAGAGATGAATACATGAATAGGTGAGGAGTTCACACTGTGTTTATAAATCTGTAGCTGGTTTTTCCAATAGTTATTTATTCACCATACCCAGTTAAATGTTTTCTTTCCCTTATTTCTAATGCTTTTTCTTCTTCTACCACTAAAGCACAAAGTTTAGTTTGACCATCTGCTCTTCCTACCAGGACCAACATGGAAAGTTGAAAAGGGCAGAAGAGTGATTCTTCCTTGTACTTGCTCATGTTTTTCCATCACTCCTGCCCCCAGAAATGACTGACAAAGGTGCTTCTAGGGAAGGCAGTATTTGTACCTAAGATGTACTTTAAGAAAAACAGCTCTTTTTCACCTTTTCTGATTTTTTTTCTGACTATAAAAGAAGTACTGATTTTAGAAAATATGAATAATACATTTAAAAAATAAGAATCACCCATAATTTTGTCACCCAACATATATTATTAACGTTTTGTTCCATTTTCTTACAGTTCTATGCATTGTTTTTCCAAAATCTGAATTATCATATGTGATATTATAAAGACTTTCCCATGTATTAAAACTCTAAAAGTCTTCAAAAACACAATTTTAATAATTGCTTAATATTCTACAATGTGGTCATATTATAATTAAACCATTCTTCTATGGTTGGGCATTTAACTTATTTACAACTTTGTGATTATCAATAATTATATCATCCTTCATCAGAAAATTTTAGGCAGGATTTCAAGAATTGGAATTTACTAGGTCGAAGCTTATAAATTTTATAAAGAGATGGAGTCTTGCTGTGTTGCCCTGTTTAGAGGTACAGTGACTGTTTACAGATACGGTCATTGTGATCTACAGCCTTGAACTACTGGGCTCAAACGATCCTCCTGCCTCAGCCTCGCAAATGGTTGGAATACAGACGTGTGCCACTACATCCAACAGTTTACAAAATTTTTAAGGTTCTTTATGCATATTGGAAAATTGCTTACTAATTCACATTTCCCTACCAGCATTAAGAATTTCTAAATTTTAAAAATCTTAATTTGAAGAAAAATTATGATCAAATTTAATGACCTAAGCACCTCTTTTCTTTTAAAGAAAAGTATGTATTCATATTTTTAAGTAGGCAAGTCACATTCATGATAGAAAGTTCACAAGGTACTAACAGTATACAGTGAAAGTATCTCTCTCTCTGTCCTCTACTCTCCATCCCTACCCCTGCTCAGTGGTACCCACTCTCAAGGTTCTTGTGTGTGATTCCAAGATAGTGGATGCATTTGTAAATATAGATATCTTTTTTTTCTCCACACAAAAGGCAGCATTATTATAACCCCCTTCTGCATTTAGCATTTTTTCACTTAATTTATGGAAGAGCTTGCCACATGAGTGTATATAAAGATGTCTCATTATTTTTAAGGGCTTCATAATATTTCATCACTTAGATATGCAATAATTTATCCAACCAGACCCCTATTTCTGGGCATTTAGATTGTGTTCAGCCATATGCAAAAGAATATGTATTGCATGATTGAACACAACCTAATGCATATATATTGTTTTACATATGTACAATTACATCTGTCGGATAAATAACTGAAAGTAAAATTGCTGGGTCAAAGAGGTCTGTGCAAACACCACTTTTTATCTTCTCATTCATTCATTCATATAGAATTTCTTACAGAAATTAAGAGTAATGTTCAGGAACTTCTATAGCAATGTGACAGAGTAATTTTATATTTGTTGAATCTTATAGTAGAAAATTGAGGTTTGTATATTTTTCATTTCATTTTTCCAGTAATTAACTTCTATTGTCTTTTCAAAAGTATCTGTTCATGACTTACTGGACATTTTCAAAACAAACCCTTCACTATAAATAGCTTGAGAAGCACTGATATAGACAGCTCCAGCTAGAAGGGAAAAATTCTTCCCCAGAGAACTGAGTGAAAGATGTATGTTGAATTCCCTCCCCTTGTTTTCTAGACCAGTGAAGTGTAATTATGTCCATTTATCATGTCACATTTCTTGGATACATCAGGATCTCTTTCTCTACGCTATAGATGATATCACCATGGTCATCTGCCCTGGAATTGCCAATCACAGCGAGAAGCAATACATCCGCACTTTCGTTGACTACGCCCAGAAAAATGGCTATCGGTGCGCCGTGCTGAACCACCTGGGTGCCCTGCCCAACATTGAATTGACCTCGCCACGCATGTTCACCTATGGTAAGCATGGCTAAGTGGAGTCCTCCCTTTTTCTGCAAGTGTGCTACTACTTCTGCTTCTGCCTTGTTTTTTCTTTTTTTAAGTTTTAAACCTATGCCCATCTGCAAGAGATGGTAGGTCACACGGTTATATCAACAGCCAACTTGTACTGGGCATTGATGATGCCATGCCTCACACCAGCCTTTGAGATGGGCACTATAACCACCCTCACAGAGGCAGAAACTGAAGCTTACAGGGGAAAGTCTTGCCCAAGGTCCCCTAGCTAGTAAGAGTCACAGCAGGGCTGGGAGCCAGGTAGATCGGGTAGCAGAGCTCATGACCTTCAGGACTGTGCTGTTCTGATGCTCGTTCCTCAGGACTCTTGTGACTGACAGGCAAGGGTGTGATGAGGCATGTGAATGTCAGTGGGAAGGGAGCCTGGCACAGTAGCAACTCACTGGATTTTAGGTTCCTGGGGAACAGGAACTAGATCTCGTCTTTCGACGAATGCTTCTTGATTTGAATTAAAATTTTGTGTTAGCTGGGCCAGTTGTGGTGGCTCATGCCTGTAATCCCTTCTCTAGTAATTAATTTTTATTGTCTTTTTTTTTTTTTTTTTTTTTTTGAGACAGAGTCTTGCTCTGTCACCCAGGCTGGAGTGCAGTGGCACGATCCTGGCTCACTGCAGGCTCCGCCTCCTGAGTTCACTCTGTTTTCCTGCCTCAGCCTCCCAAGTAGCTGGGACTACAGGTGCCCGCCACCACGCCTGGCTAATTTTTTTGTATTTTTAGTAGAGACAGGGTTTCACCATGTTAGCCAGGATGGTCTCGATCTCCTGACCTCGTGATCTGCCCACCTCGGCCTCCCGAAGTGCTGGGATTACAGGCATGAGCCACCGCGCCCCGCCTTTTTATTGTCTTTTTCAAAAGCATCTGTTCATGACTTACTGGACATTTTCAAAACCAACCCCTCACCATAAATAGTGCACTTTAGGAGGCTGAGGCAGGTGGATCACTTGAGGTCAGAAGTTCAAGACAAGCCTGGCAATCATGGCAAAACCCTGTCTCTACTAAAAATACAAAAATTAGCTGGCACACGCCTGTAATCCCAGCTATTCAGGAGGCTGAGGCACGAGGATCACTTGAACCCGGGAGGCAGAGGTCATGCCACTACACTCCAGCCTGGGCAACAGAGCAAGACTCTGTCTGAAAAAAAAAAAAAATCCTGTTTTAGCTAAGGTTCTGGCTTCTGGACTGCTTGTTCTTGATTCTTATTAGCTCTCTCTTTAGATTATATATGTATACATAAACAATAAACACATAAAATATGCATCTGTATATGCACAAATATTTGGGATGTTATAAGCAAATAAATTGTAATATGTTTTAATGGGAAATAACTAAAAATTATATCTATCATCTCACCATAACTATAATTTTCTATTTCTTCCAACTACCCTTCTGTCTTTATCAATGTCTACATAGTTTTTATTTATTGCAGTCATAGCATGTATATCTATGGTGATTTATTTAAATAACTCTATATTCACCAACATAAAGATGTTTAATCTGTTTAAGAGCCACATTGCTGTTACTACTCTGTTATAGTTTATTTAACCATTTATCTTTGTAGGACATATGAATTATTTAAAGTTTTTCAGCATTTTAAATAACAATGCTGTAAATACTGTGTCTTGTACATAGAATTATTTTCTCTTGAATGACCTTGGAGTAAATGCCCAGTAAAATTGCAGAGTCAACATTTTTTTATGCATATTTGTACATCTTGTCAGATTGACCTCCAGCAAGGTCATTCCAATTACGTTGCCACTGGTAACATGCAAGGGCACTGTCTCCTATAAGGGCAGGTAAGGGAAGGTCACAGGTATGGAAGCATGAACAGGTATACCTGCTTTGTGCCAAGCAGGGTGTTGGGTGCCCTGAGTTCATTTCCTCTTCTGTATTCACACCCACAGCTGAAGATACCCATTTTACAGACTCCGTTCTGTTCAGCAGTTTGGTCAGTAGCTTGAAAATATAGGTGAATTTGGCCGAGCGCAGTAGCTCAAGCCTGTAATCCCAGCACTTTGGGAGGCCAAGGCAGGCAGATCACGAGGTCAGGAGATGGAGACCATCCTGGCTAACATGGTGAAACCCCATCTCTACTAAAAATACGAAAAAGTAGCCGGGCGTGGTGGCGGGCACCTGTAGTCCCAGCTACTCGGGAGGCTGAGGCAGGAGAATGGCGTGAACCTGGGAGGTGGAGCTTGCAGTGAGCTGAGATCGCGCCACTGCACTCCAGCCTTGGTGACAGAGTGAGACTCCATCTCAAAAAATTAAAAAAAATAAATAAATAGGTGAATGTCCAGATTTACAGATAGCACAGGCACAGGGTGAATAGTGAGTATGTGGGAGACAGAATTGGACCCAAAAGTCAGAAATAGGCCAAATCAAACACAAAGAAAACAATGGGGAATAATGGTAATGTCCTGTGCTTGGATATATAGATTGTCTATACAAGTAGAAGATGGGGAGGCATGGCTTGGCTGCAGGGCCAGGATGGAGATTTGGGAGCACTAACAGTACAGTGTGAACACTTACTGTGTGCCAGTGGGAACACTTAATGTGCACCAGACACAGTACTGATGTCACATGTAGGCACAATCTCTTTTATCTCCACAGCAACCCATGGGACCGTAAAATTCTGATGAAAAAACTGAGGCATAGAGAGGTTAAGTGATTTGGGCAAGGGCACAGAGCCAGTAAGTAGAAGAGCTAAGAGAGGAGCCTGGATCTGGCTGCCGGAATCATCTCAGAGATAGCAGAGTAACTGGGTCTGTATAGTCTAGGCCTCCCAGCTCCAGAGTGCTGTACTGTTGGGGCTGTAGGCCAAAGAGACCAGATTGGAAGGCGTTACCACACCAGGTCAGGGGAGACCAGCAGCTGAAGAGCAGAGAAGAATAGGTTAAGTGCAGGCCTTGCTCCCAGAGAGTACCTGGGTCAGGAGACAGGCTCTGGATCCGATGCCCCAGCACTGCCACTGATGCTGTGTGGCTCGAGCAGTTTCTTAAACTCAGTTCCAGATTCTTCAGCTGCAGTAAGGTGGAGCTACAATTAAATGTGGGTTACTGAGGACTTGGTAGGCAGTTGATTACATATAGTAAACATTTATTGTATGTTAGGTTCATTCTTTTTGTTTTGTTTTGTTTTGTTTTTTTGAGGCAGAGTCTCACTCTGTCACCCAGGAGGGAGTGAAGTAGTGCAATCATGGCTCATTGAAGCCTCAACCTCCCAGACTCAAGCCAGCTTCCCACCTCATTTTTTAATTTTTTGTAGAGACAAGGTCTCACTATGTTGTCCAGGCTGGTCTCGAACTCCTGAGCTCAAGTGATCCACCCACTTCGCCCTCCCAAAGTGCTGGGATTACAGATGTGAGCCACCGTGCCAGCCAGGTTTATTCTTATTCAAATACTTGAAGGTATATTCATGTTGGTGAGAGATTAACCGTGCTGTTTGTGACCCAGATAAATAAGATGTGTTCTGCCAGGGAGATGTGAGTGTCGTTAAAGAATTACAATACAACGCCGGGCACGGTGGCTCATGCCTGTAATCCCAGCACTTTGGGAGGCTGAGGTGGACAGATTACCTGAGGTCAGGAGTTTGAGAGCAGCCTGGCCAACATGGTGAAACCCTGTGTCTACTACAAACACAAAAATTAGCCAGGCATGGTGGCAGGCACCTGTAATCCCAGCTACTTGGGAGCCTGAGGCAGGAGAATCACTTGAACCCAGGAGGCGGAGGTTGCAGTGAGCCGAGATCACACCACTGCACTTCAGCCTGGGCAACAGAGCGAGACTCCATCTCAAAAAAAAAGGAATTACAATACAGTGTGATGAGTGGACTAACACAGCGGGCCTGGTGAATGTGCTGCAGCAGCATGGAGAAACCAGCCTCGATCTATGGGCGAGGAGTCAAGTTGTGGGAGGAAGAATTCTCCCAGGAAAGGCATTTGAGCTGGGTTCTCAAAGATGAGCTCCTAAACAGAGGCACTCATGAACAGTTGGAGTTTGTAGACAGGGGAGTGCGCTATGGAAGGGCAACCCATGCAGAAGAGCAGCATTCACAGCTGCCTTAAGAGCACTGTATGTTTGGACTGAGGAGCTGCCTGTGAGCATGAAAAACCCTTGGAGATGAGGTGAATCCATCAGGGGAGAGCTTCAGGCCCCCAATTTTGAAAATTAACTATCTCCTTCAATTTGTGGATGGTGTTGTTACATTTTATTTCATCAGAATTTTAGAAGTAAATTTCTGTAGTTTATTATACTTTAGAAATGTTCTAGAAAGACAGGTGACCTAGAAAAAAAATGGGTGTCTTCTTCTAGCCATACTATTTGTTTTTTTGTGTGTATCAGTACATGTTTTACTTGTTAATAATTTCTTTTAACCATTGGAGGATAAGCTCAAACAAATAGGACCTTAAAAAGGTCAGAAATCCAGAATTTGGATGCTTTGTTGAAATGTAAAAATTAAAACATCTTTCGTAGCTTCAAAGAGCCTAGAGAGAGAAAGCGCTAGTGTTTCGTTAGGTGCTATTGATGTAATTTTAGTTTAAAATAAAGTTTTTAATAAATGTTTTCCTGGGCTGGTGGAAAAGGAGCAATCCTTCACCAAAGGTGGCCTAACACGTTAGAGCAAAGCCCGTGTTTGTTACTTTTGACTGGTTAATTGAGGCAGGTCCACAGTTAACATGCTAGAACTGGAAACCTTTTATCATAGTTAATCATATCCTCATGTAAGTGTGTTAGTTGTTGATGTGTGGGCTTTCTATACTTTAGTACAAAGATCTTTGTCAACTTTTGTTTCTACACCCAGTACTGTTCTCAATTTTTAATTATTGTTGCCTTGCAATATGGCCTGATATCTGATGGTACCAACCCTGACTCATGGCTATTTCAGAGTATGCTCTTGTCTGCCTACCTGTTTTTTTTTTTTCTTTTTTCATTTGAACCAAAGAATTATTGTGTCCAGTTCCATGTTGAGTTTTTGTCTTATTAGTCAAGATGGACTAGATTATGCTGTGGAAACAACTTGGATCTCAGTGGTTTAAAGCAATGATTTCTGTCCATACTATCCATCCATTATGGCTTAGCTGAGGGGCCTCTGTGTCTCCATCATTATGGTCCTCACTCAAGGAACCAGGCCCATGGAGCAGCTACCTGCTGGAACATTGCAGAGGGTAGGAAGAGTGTGGCTCTTGAAGCTTCTCCTCAGAAATGACAGAGGTCACTCCTGGTCACACTTTATTGGTCAAAGTACAGTACACGACCAAGCCTAACTTCAGTGGGGTGGGGGAGAAGCATCCTTCCTAGAGATGGAAAGTAGTTATTGGTGGTGAACTCTCGCACAGTTTATCACAATTTCTGAAGGGGAACTTTAATTTATAAATTAATGTGGAAAAATTTATAATACTTACTTTTCTCATCCAGGAGCATGACCTTTTCCTTCAAGTCTTCCTTTATTTCTACCTAAAAGAACTCCTAGTTCTCTTTGTGTAGGTCAGTTTGTTGTCAACACTAGAATTTCCCATGGGAGCTTTTAAAAGATACCTGTGCCAGTGGCTTAGCTCTCCGGGAGTCTAAGGTATAGCCAAGGTTTTTCAGAGCCACAGATACAGGTTTTACTCCTTGTTCCCTCATTAGTTTTATTTTTGCTTTTTTACTTTTTATTACAGACATTTCAAAATATGCAGAAGTAGGGAGAATAGTAGAATAAACCCCAGTGTACCCTTTACCCAACCTCAACAATTGTTCAACTCATGGCCCATCTTGTTTCCTTTACTCCCTTCTGGCATCCCCTCTCAAAGATTATTTTGTTTTATTTTAATTTAATTAATTTATTTATTTTCTGAGACACTGTCTCACTCTGTTGCCGAGGCTGGAGTGCAATGGTGCAATCTCAGCTCACTGCAACCTCTGCCTCCCAGGTTCAAGTGATTCTCCTGCCTCAGCCTCCCTAGTAGCTGGGATTATAAGCACCCGCCACCACACCCAGCTAATTTTTGTATATTTAGTAGAGACAGGGTTTCACCATGTTGGCCAGACTGGTGTCGAACTCCTGACCTTAGGTGATCCGCCCACCTCGGCCTCCCAAAGTGCTGGGATTACAGGCGTGAGCCACTGCACCCAGCTTCAAAGATTATTTTGAAGCAAGCCCCAGACAGCCTGTCCAGTTTCATCTGTGACTATTTCCAGTGTGCATCACTAAGATACACAGGCTCTTTGTAAACTGTCTTCATTTGTTAGGACTGCAATATCCAAATACCACAGTGGGCGTGGCTTATACAAGAGCAATTTATTTTCTCACCGTTCTGGGGCCTAGAAGTCCCAGATCAGGGTGTCAGCAGGGTTGGTTTCTTCTGAGACCTCTCTTCCTGGCTTGTAAATGACTGTTTTCTTGCTGTGGATTCACACTACAGTCACCTGTGTCTCTGGTATCTCTCTGTGTCCTAATCTCTTCTTAAAAGGACACCAGTCATCCTGAATTAGGGCCCACCCTAACAACCACATTTTGGCTTAATTACATCTTTAAAAGCCTTATCTCCAAATATAGTCACATTCTGAGGTACCGGGGGTTACGAGTTCAGCATATGAATCTTGGGAGAGACACTATTCAGCCCATAACATAACAGAAGCACAATGGCATCATCACAACGGAAACACTTAAAACAGTACTCCTCAAGAGCAATTCAATTTCCCCATTGTCTTCCTGCTTTTTTTCCCATTTTAATTCTTTTGTTCAATTTAAGATCCAAGTCAGGTCCATATATTGCAATTGGCTGATAGGTCTCTTATGCCACTTTTCGATCTCCTTCCACGCATTTTTAATAGGTCCCCAACCAAGTAAGCCTCTTCCAGGTGGGGTCACTGGATGTGACATTGGAGGAGCTCTCTGGATCCCCAGGACATACTGCAGTCCACCATCAGGCCCCCTATTCCCACCCTGAGTGTATGGAAATTCCAGGCACTGAACTCCAGTGCCTGCTAATCCCAGGACTGCCCAGGTTCTGTTTGGAAGGCCCTTCTGTGGTCTTCACTTGGCTTCTCTTTGTCACTCAGGTCTCAACCAAGATGTCACCCTCTCAGAGAGCCCTTCCTTGACTCCTCTCCCTCATCTAAAGCTCCCCCCCAACCCCAGTCATTATCTAATGCCCCTCCTTACTTTCTTCAAGCCACTTAAGATTTGAAATTAAGGATTTGTTTTCATAACCTGTGAAATTATTTGTTTATATGGCTATCATCTGTCTCTCCATCCCAGAAGTTCACTCCATGAGAGCAGGCAGTTTTCGCACTCCCTGCTGTAGTTCCCCAGTGTCTAGAATCCTGCTTGGACCCTAGAAAGCATTCACTGCATCAGTGTTTACTGAATGCCTACTGAGATGGGAACTGACAGTTTGTGACTGTAAAATGATACTTTACAAACTAGTACATCCCAAACCATTGTGCCCTATATGTGAGTCTTCCCTTAGGCACATTGCCTCTCTTTTGAGCAGATGCCAGGCATTCAAGTCACTGTGAATACCCTTTGGGCTTTTTGCAACTGTGATCTTGACCAGAAGAAAACTAAAGAGGGCATTAACATGAAACTCTATATTCTTCTTTTGCTGTTATGCACCTGCCTCAGATTTCTCTGAGAAAATTATAAAGGATCTTTTCCCATTTATCAACCCAACTCTGTTCCAAACCACATAAGCTTTGCTAATGTGATTAGAAATTGTTGAAAACAGATCTGCCTTGCACAGAATTTCCTAAATGGATAATTAAGCATTCTTGTGACTTAGAACCCTTCGTGCTGCCTTTGAAAGATAAATTCATTAAGGAAAATTCTTCATGACAGCAGTTACCATTTATCTCACTCTAATGAGTGCCAGGCATGTGCTTTCACGTTACTTCACTTGATCCTTACTGCCTCAGAGGTAGGTTTTAATTAGTATCCCCACTTCACAGGCTTAGGGAGGTTAAGTACCTTGACCTGAGTCATGTGACTAGTGAGTGGCAGAACCAGCCTTCAATCAATGTGATTCTTAACCCTAACTTAATACCACCTCTGTGGTAGTGTTCATTTCCTATTTAGGATACTGTTCATTAGAATACAGAGGAGCAGGTGTGATGTTTGAGTATTTAAAAAGACATTTTCCCCACTTTGGTGGTAGTGGTCATTACTGTTCTGATAGCTGTCACTTACATAGCATTTGCTGTGTGCCAGGCACTGTTGTGAATACTTTGTAGGATATATTAAATCAGTCACACCCCTTTTACAGGTGAGGAAACTGAGGCCCGACAAGGATGACTGACTTGCTCTAAATCACAGAGTTAATGAGTGGGCAGCCCAGGCTTCAAACACAGGCAGTCTCGCAGTCTAGTCCTAGAATCCGTGCTCCTGAACAACAGGCTCCATTGCCTCTCCATGTAAGAGACTAAGGAGTGAGGAAATAGTTCCCAGTCAGATACATTTTAGGCTTAAGGCAAAAGAGCATCCAAGAGCATCTCAGAGCCACAGAATTGGACCTGTGGGTTTGGTCTTTGATCTTTTGTTCAGCCAGCATCCTCCAGACAATGATGGGGCCAGCCTCTGCGATGGGAATACAGGTGTGGATTCGAGTCCCTGCCTTCAGGAAGATCCCAGTCTATGAGGAACTCTCACCATCTAGTTGGGGAAGGAGGGTGCACAGTCACAGTCGGTCTAAGCTTATTGGCTAGGTTTGTCCAAAAGGAATATTTACCAACAGCAACCTTTTCACAGACAGGGACCAGATCTGCATTTCTAATTTTTATATTATTGTGTGTTAATCTCCTCCATCTAGTGTATCACTTAGAGAGAGATGGTCAGGAAAGGCCTGCAGCGGGAGAGAACCTGTGCTTTATAGTCCAACAGCTGAAGGTTTGACTGCCTGGTCGAGAAAGCTGAGAAAGACTGTTAAGAAATTTGGCAATAAGTCCCAGCATGGTGGCTCACACCTGTAATCCCAGCACTTTGGGACGCCCAGGCTGGCAGATCACTTGAGCCCAGGAGTTTGAGACCAGCCTGATAGAACATGGTGAAACCTCATCTCTACTAAAAATGAAAAAAGCCAGGTGTGATGATACACACCTGTAATCTCAGCTACCTGGGAGGCAAAGGCAGGAGAATCGCTTGAGCCCAGGAGTGCAGTGAGCCAAGATTACGCCACTGCACTCCAGCCTAGACGACAGAGACTGACCCTGTCTTTAAAAAAAAAAAAATGGCAATAATATAAAAGTGCATGGCATAGAGTCCAGCAAATACCAGTAAACAATAACGATTATCATCTTCATTGGCCCTTCACTCTAACTTTGTGTTTTCTGTGAGCCACCTTAGAGGAGAAAAGGTAAACATTTACTTGAACTGTTAAATGACCTTACCTCTGCATCCAGTTCATACAGTTGACCTCATGTGAACTTTGGAATTTCTGCAAGGACGAGTTTAAGAACCTGCTCGTGTTGAGCATAAAATTCTTCCTTCTTTGAGCTCAGTCTGAGTTACAGCTCTGTGTACAGGGATGTCGGCTGTGGTGATTATTCTGCAGTATGCAATGCTTGCTTTCCAGCTGGACAACCTTCAGTATTGGCCTCTTGGCCAAATCTGTTTGGGCCACACGCCTCCAGCTCAAAGCCACTGGCTTCTATATACAGAGCCAGCCCTTAAAATCAGTACTGGAAAGAGTTTTTACTGTAGTACATGCTACATTTTAACCTTCTAAAAAATGTTTTTTTTTTTTAAAAAAATTCCTCACACTTAACTTTTGTATAGTTCATAAATTCTTTAAACTGGAAAATACTAAATATGTCTCTTTTGATAAAGACATTAGCTAACCTGAGTAAAAATAAATGTGAAGAACACCTACAAGAGTAAAGTTTACCAAACTGTCTTAAATTTCTTATTGTGCCAAGCGAGGTGGCATGCACTTGTAATCTCAGCTACTCAGGAGACTAAGGCAGGAGGATAGCTTGAGGGTAGGAGTTCAAGACCAGCTGGGCAACATAGCAAGTCCTTGTCTCTAAAAAAAAAAAATTTTTTTAACTAATAGGGTACTCTACTGGGTCAGGCCAGGTAAACAACCCTGTCATGTGGGTGAGGTCAATAACACTTGGAAATCAAGGAAGATGAAGAAGTCATGAAGATTTTCTTGAAGTGTATTTATTATAAAGAGCCTAATCTTTAATCGAGGCACTGCAGCAGTAGACATGTTGGCTTACTCTTTATTGACTTAATTGACCTTCTAAACTAAACAATGTTTGGAATGTGAGTGTTTTTGTCAGTGATTCTGTAGGGGCCCAGTGAATTCAGGCAGCATTCTGCTTCTTCTGTCTCTCTTTGGCCGAGTGCCTTATCCCAACAGTCCAGTATTCATGTTCAGAGCAAAGAAGAGGTAGATCAAATCCACTAGCCAAAGAATAAACTGAAAACCAGAATTTTCCAGCTTGTGCTTATTCTGGCCTCCATATCATACCTTCATATCTTGAAAGTTTTATCACCAGAAAATCAAGAGCCAAGTAACAAAGGATCTTATTAGTTTGATCTTGATTTAAAGAGAGAAAAAAATAGGATTAAAAACAATATCTTCTATGTCAAGTGAAAGGAATAAAAATAACCTGGCTCTGGCTCCCCAAAGGTAACGAGTCCCTTAGGATCATGAGCCTTCTAAGAACTTAGTACCCATCTCCCACCAAAACACCAAGCTGGGGCATTTGGCATTGAAAATGGCCTCGAATATTTAAATTGCTTTTTTCCTGTGAGTTTAAACAGGGAAGAAGTGGGCCCTTCCCTTATTTCTAAACTCTTGACTCTCGGGCATTAGACATCAAGCTGTGAGGAAGTACGTGAAATCACAGCATTGAATTCTCTTGCTGGGAGGAGGAAATCTTTAATGTCCAACTGGGTTTAATACAGGAACTTTTTTGTTTTTTAAACTATCTTTTGGATTAAGGCTGCAGTGAACCGTGATCATGCCACTGCACTCCAGCCTGGGTGACAGAGTGAGACCCTGTCTCAAAAACAAAACAAAAATTATCTCTTGGGCTGGGTACAGTGGCTCACACCTTTAATCACAGTGAGACCTCATTTCTACAAAAAATAAAAATAAATTAGCTGGGCATGGTGGCTCATGTCTGTAGTCCCGGCTACTCTAGAAGCGCTGTGCCCAGGAGTTCAAGGCTACACTGAGCTGTGATCATGCCACTGCACAGCCTGAGCTACAGAGTGAGACCCTATCTCTTAAAACAAACAAACATATATACAAACAATCTTTTGGAACCTCAAGGTAAGGTCAGAAAACTTGGTCTTGCTTAGAGGACGGGACTTCAGTCTTAGAAGGGAGGGAGACCCCATCTCCCTCCATCTAATTACACATTCCAATTGAGACACTTTTGAGAGTAAAAAGGGACTTTATTAATAACGTTATAATAATTCATAACTTTATTAATAACTGCATCAGAACAATACATTCCAGGACCCTCTTGGAGAGACTAGGATGTAGGGTTACCTACCTTTAGCATGCTGTAGAGATCACCCATGATCCAAGACATCTCACTGTAAGAGCTTCAGGCAGTGATTTTTAAGGAACTTCTATTTTGTTTTTACTGCTTAATATCTTACAATCTTCTATTAGATCATAAACATAGGTGTTTCGATAAGCTTCTCATATCTACCATTTTCATTGGTGTAGACTCAATTTTGAATTGTATTCATAGTTATGAATTGTGTTGCCTCTGCATTAAACAGTTGAGTTTTATAATGGCAGAAGGGCACAATGGGAAGGGAGGAGGAAGAGATGGGTGAAGGGAGAGAGAGAATGTGAAAGTGAAGGTAGTGAGTTTGCAGAACTCAGACATCGTAGTAAAACACCTGGCAAGATCGTCTGCTGAGAGCCAGGGGCCAGGAGCTTCAGGAAGTGTGTCAGGGAGTCATATCCAAAGCAGAACAGTGGCCAAGAGTGGTGAGTTCTGCACTTTCAGGATGATATCTGAATACTTAAACCTTTAGCCATAAGAGGGCAGTTTTAGGCATCCTATACCTGGGGAAACAAGGCTGAAAACACTCATTTTTTAAAATCCTTATTTCAGAGATAAGGGCAAGGCCAACTAATTTGATAGCACAAAGGGGCCTTAACTTTATTTCTACAGCTATTGTATTCCTGGATGACTCAGCTTTAAGATAGTTTCCCCTTGACTTTAAGAAATGACTCACATACTTTTACTATGGAAGTGACAGGGGCTGCTAGGCCCCTAACCGCCCACCTGTCAGCGAGCCATGTTAGCTTAACTGTATTTTTCTCTTAGGCTAAACTTAGTGGGAAAGATATTCAAGTACCTCTTTCATGTCCCCTGCTTACTCATGCTGGCGAGTACTGTGTGCCTTTATTCCAGACGATTCAAACTTCCTTCTTATCCACCTGACATTTTGTGGCATATCCACAGATGCCATGCATGGGCCTGGCATGGAACATACAGAGATGACTCAGAGTCTCCATCCACAAGGAACACCAAGTCTCGAGTCCCTGTATTTTAGCCTATTTAGTCATGCTAGTGTCATTTGGGGAAGTGGCTGTTGAAATAATAGCTTTCAGGCAGCCTTTGCCTTGTCCTTCTTTAGGTGTAGGGGCTTGAGAAAAAGGTGAGGGGTCTTTTCTGTTCCCAGCAAGTTGCCTTTCCAAAATGGCCGTGCAATACTCATCTGTCTAAGGCCCAGCTAGTGTTTCAGATTTCATCTTACTTTAAAAAGCGGCAGCAAGATTATATAGTTACCTAGTGCTAATCCCATAAGAATTAAATACATAGAGCCTCATTTAAAAACAGATTAATGTAGCTGTTAGTAATAACAGGCCAGGGAGAGGCCCCAGGCACTAAAGGTGTTTGGTAACTGACATCAGGGGAGGTCCCAGGAGGACCTTCCAGAAGGCTGATCCTGGAGCTGGGCACCATGTCTTTGCCCTTCCCTTGCATGGGAGAGGTGGCATCTCTTCAC